>NC_000012.12:40944976-41096491 GCF_000001405.40 Homo sapiens
CTCAGTAGGACATTTAGGATTGTTTAAGTCCCATAAAATCTGAAGATTGATATGTACACATTATTATATTATGCTTTCATATTGTCCAGCTATGTTTTTAGCTTTAGAAGAGTTGTAATTTAACTGATCTAGCTACAACTGTACACCTCTAGTAAACATACCAATACTCTTTCAGTTTCTGAACCAAAATTATACTTTAAAGAATAACAATTGAGAATTGGCAGAGAACTGTAAATTTTGTATTTTGACATTATATACCATGTAATATATTTTCCTTATAGATCTGAAACTATTTTGCACATGCCCAAAATTAGTCAAATTGGCACCAAAATCTCCAATACTTTATTTAAAGTGTATTTTATTTTGCAAGAAAAGTAAATACAACTTGGGTTTTATTCATTTTAAAGGAAAAAAGTAAGCTAAACAGGGATCTTACTTTCTCAAAAAGTAGGCTTCTGAATTTGAAAGAATTATCTTTGGTGTTATAAATTGAATAATTTCAAAAGTAAAGTCTAGAAGTTCCACAACCATAGTTTATAAAGTAGTAACTAATAGCTGCAATGAAGTCTATGTAAATAAATTTGCAGACAAAAATTGCCCTAAACTGAAACTTCATATTTAGAGCTTATTTATATTCTTTAAAATACTAATTACATTGTGCTGGTACATGTAAATAATGACTGCAAAAAGAAAATGGAAAAAAAAAGGAATTTAAAGAGAAAGAAAAATAGATCCCAGTCCCCTTTAAAAAAAAAAACAGGAAAACAAAGAAATAACTGGAATACTAATTAGGAAACAAATAATAAATTAGACCATAAAAATGTAAAAGACCTTGTGGCCACTTAGTGCACACTCTCCCTTTTCAGATGATAGCTGCAGAGATTCACATAGTTACCCCTCCAGCTAATCCAGAGCAGAGTCCTGACCGCAGGCTCACCACCTCAGGTTTCAGTTCATTCCATCAAATAATGATCTGACAGTGGGAGCAAACCTACTCAACTGACTAGATAAGCATCTTAATTGAATCAGAATATCAAATGCACATGTTTAGCATGTCATAGATGGACAGATGCATTCAATTATCTCGATTTTTAAAAAGCCTGGATAAGAATCATTTTAAAATAAATAATTAAACTGAATTCTATCTTTCAAACCAACACAAGACTAATGAAGCTATCCCTGGCACCTTCCTTCTCTTTTAAGGCAAACTACAAAGTTAAACTTCACTGGTCAATATGCCATGCAAAATTTAAGTAAAAACGCTATAAATATTTGATCCACCTTTTGGAAGATAGTCCTAACAGCTATTAATTGCTTCTAGGATTGTTAATAGATCATTCTCAGAATTAGTGGCTCCTCCTATGAAAATCTTAGTGAATATATATATGTCTCTTAAATAATGATTTGGTATTTTATGTAGTTCTCCCAATATTTCAACAATTGAATAGCATTTGTTCATTAAGAATATGTACTAAGCACATGCCATAAGCAGACACAGTTGTAGGCACTAGGTTAAATAAAACACTGAAATAGACATGGACACCAGCCCAAAATAAACCAATGATACCCCAAGAGTTTAAGATTCAGATGTAAATGTTTTTTGGTAGCTATTACAGTTAACAAAACCAACATAATTAACATGTTCTAACAATTTTCATTGCTAAAAACTAATACAGGAAGTTCTGACTAATAATAAAAAGGAATAGGGAAATCAAATTTTAAACTTTTTATTTCAAGAACCTAAGTTTTTATTTTCCAATTTAGTTTCAATAATAAATTGAATTCAATAATTAAGTATGCACTGATTTTAGCTTGCTATTCTTGATTTTAACCACTAAGGGGCAACCTTGTATAAGGATTCAAATTTCACAGCCCGGTGTAATTTGGGACTTCTTTTCCTTCATGAAATTAAACAAATGCATTTGCTCCTACTTATGAATAAATTGTGAGATTATAGGTGATTTTTAAATGTCTTCTTTATATTTTTTCTAATTAAAGTTATGTAATTATTAGGAAAAATGTAACTGTACATTTTTAAAGATGTATATTTCTTTTAAGAGTTTAATGGGAACACCAAAAAAGCAAAAATAACACTGTCTTTGTATTTAGTAATCCTACTTTATGTAAAACTTTGGGATTAATTTATTTTTTAATGTAACTTTCAATTTTAAGGCAGTAATTGCACACCTAGTACTGATTATAGAAAAACACTAAGGAGTTAAACATCTAAAAATTTCCTGAGTATTATATTAATATGTAATAATTGTCAGATGTTCCACTGGAACTTGAACTCATGCATGGGGGATGTTAAAAATACAAGCTCGAAGCAGAAATTTAATAAATCTGAGGCTTTGATACAATAAGATATTAAAGCAGTTTATCTGCCATTCTTTTATTTTGTTGATGTTATATGGCAAATGATCATAAATGTTTCAAGTCCAATTATAAAGTGGCTCCTGTTTTGGCTTTCTAATTCAATAGCTACTTAATGCCTTGGAGTAAATACAAAAGGCAGAGCCATTTTATTTATTCATTTAATGTATAACTTTTCTTGTTCCAGAAAAGACTTAAGACAATCTATCAAAAATATGAATTTTAAATATCTCATTTTATTCCTCTTTCAAGGTGGCACCTAACCTGTAGAATTTTTCAGTAGCCCTCAATTTTTGACATTCACTTTGGGTCATTTTCTTTCAACTGTTTAACAACATTCCCTGCTTAGAGCCATTAAGTTAGTTAATTACATGAGTTCCTTAAAATTTCCAGTTTTGGAGATTGTCACTATTTCATATATATATATATATATACACACACACACACACACACACACACACACACACACACACACACACATATGTATTACTCTTATTACAAATACATGTTAAATTTGTAATACTGTGGGACATTATTGCCTGTCTTATATGAATTCATAAATATCACTTGAATTGTTCAGAGATTGTGTCACAAACCAACCTGGGCTTTAGGCTTCATTTTCTCACCTCTTATGTGGTGACTCTGATCCAGGGATTAAAATTCTCTAAGCCTCAGAATTTCCCTCTGTAAAACGTGATTAATCATTCACTTACTTCATTCAGGTTACTTCACTGGGTTTGAAAAACTAGTTACTTCATGAAAGAGTGCATATAGAGACTTGGCACAGCATCTGAGAGTATTGGGGACACGAATAAAGTATATAAGTGGTTATTAATACTTTTTATAAGAGAGCAATCATCCCCCATTGGAAATTCCAGAAGCTTTTGCTAGCTAGTTTTTCTTTCTTTCTTTTTTTTTTTTTTTTTTTTTTTGAGCCACAGATCTCATTTTTCACAATTTAATACTTGCACTGCTTGCTGTGCTGGATACTTAGACTGAGACCAAAAAAAAAAAAAAATCTGGGTATTTCATTGCTGAAGGCAGTGAAGAGGTAATAATAGCCAACATTTATTGTGGGCTTACTGTTTAGACAGAATTGGGTTAAATGTTTTTCACATATTTCTCAGTTGATCTTCACAGAAATCCTCTGTGGAGTGCATATTATTGTGATTTTCTCAGTTTTCAAAGTGAGGAAAGTGAGTATTAGAAAAGTTGAGTAACTGGTCCCATGTAATCATACAAGTCGCTAGAGGCTAACAGAAGATTTGATACCAGGTGGCCTGACTGCCAACCCTGTAATCTCCACCACTTTGATTCATCTTTTGGTTAATGTTCATGTCTGTGTCTATTTAAATAATTCTCCCATAAGTATTTGATGCTCTACAAGGCAATACTGTTCAATTCACATTTTATTCTCTAATCTGGTTTAATGAACCTTGTATGCTCACTCAGATTGCCCAAATTACTTCATTCTCCCTACACTGTTGGCCACCTTTGCAATACACTGTAAGTCATGTCTACACAGTTTCAAGTGGTCTAACTATGAAGTTCCTGGCAATTCCTAATGATCCCCTGTAGACAGGTATGCTAGGTGTGTGTTTGCAGGTATGTGGGTGTGCATTTTTTCTGAGTGCATAAGCAATACCATTCAAGAGAGAAGAAGACAGATTTCTCACCCAAACGTTATTTTCCTTTTTTAAAGAAAAATTTTATTAAACATATCAAAAAAGGTCTTTAGATTTTACAAATATGTATTTAAAACTAGATCATGCTGTGATCTTGTACAGAAATTTTGTTTCTGCAAGACAAGAAAAAGGAGAGGAAAAATGATAAAACAGAAGTCAATTTGTTTTTTTTTTTGTTTTTTTACAATTTAATCTTTTATTTTTATTTACATTTTATGTAGAATGCTTATAACTAGAAAGAAAGGTTTCTTTTTTTATATACTTTAAGTTTTAGGGTACATGTGCACATTGTGCAGGTCACATATGTATACATGTGCCATGCTGGTGCGCTGCACCCACTAACTCGTCATCTAGCATTAGGTATATCTCCCGATGCTATCCCTACCCCCCCTCCCCCCACCCCACAACAGTCCCCAGAGTGTGATATTCCCCTTCCTGTGTCCATGTGATCTCATTGTTCAATATTTCATTGTCTCTATTCACTATTTTGGTTGTTGTTGCTGTTTTTGTGGGTTTTCTTCTTTTCTTTTCTTTCTTTTTTTTTTTTTTTTTTTTTTTTTTGAGACGTAGGTTAGCTCTTGTTGCCCAGGCTGGAGTGCAATGACGCAATCTCGGCTCACTGCAACCTCTCCCAGGTTCAAGTAATTCTCTGGCCTCAGCCTCCCAAGTAGCTGGGATTGCAGGTGCCTGCCACCACACCTGACCATTTTTTTGTATTTTTAGTAGAGATGGGGTTTCACCATCTTGGCCAGGCTGGTCTCGAACTCCTGACCTCAGGTGATCCACCCGCCTCGGCCTCCCAAAGCACTGGGGTTACAGGCATGAGCCACCGCACCCGGCCTCTATTCACTGTTGAACAAGAAGGTTAAGATTATCCAGAATTATGTGGGAGAAAACGAGGACGGTTGGGCAATAATCCTTGGTAAGAATCAGATTCGAGCCGAAAAAAATTAGAGCAGGATACCAGGCAGCCACAGGGAGATCGTGGAAGCCCTGAAGTATTGTAACTTTGGTCCCATGTGGAGACATTTTTGGTTATCACAACTGTAGAGGTGTTGAGAGGGTGTGTGTGTGTGTGTGTGTGTGTGTGTGTGTGTGTGTGTGTGTGTATTGCATCTATTTAGCTATTAAATATCCTATAATGCACAAGACAGATTCCAAAAACCTAGTATTATCTGGCCCAAATTATCGATAGAACCAAGCTTGAGAAACGTCCTCAAGAAAGATATTAAAAAAGAGACTTAGCAATACTGGGACTAGCCACTGCAAGGTTTTAAGCATGATGTATTGGAAACAAAGAGATGTTATATTGTTTTGAGCATCTGAGAGTATTGGGGACACGAATAAAAAGAAACTAGATTTTTCAAAATGCATATCCAAAATAGTTTAAGTAGTAGAGGATGGGTTTTATGTGCTTCTTGAATTTAAGACTCTTAAATTTTGATGAGCAGTGGAAAAGAGGGAGAAATACATAAAAAGTATACAGGCTCCTGGCACAGTCTTGTGACACACAAAACATACAAAAGCATTCGGCCAATGTCAAATTGCTCTATTTTTCTTATCAGTAGTTAGTTGGAAAAGAGTTAATTAGATAATTCTATCATACTTCATTCTGTATGAATATATAACTTTTCTGATCCCCTTTTTACTACCTTAATAAACCTTTACTGATACCTAACTGCTATATTTTATTTGCTATTTACCAGTGTTAAACGAAGGAAGGTATCTATGTTCCTGGGTGTGTTTTCAGTTGGGCTAGCTTCTTTTAAGATCATCACACTTCCCATGTATAGACCATGTTAGCTGATGTCACTCTCTAGCCTAACTTCTCATAGTCCTTACTAAGCATTTGTTGATAAGAATGCCAGGTGAATGGAATTAAGCATATATATATATAAGAATGCCAGGTGAATGGAATTAAGCATATATATATAATATAATATATAAAATGTCCATTCTGATCACTTTTTTCTACAAAGTGGTCCAAGAAGATTTTTAGAACTCTAAAGCTAAGGGGAACCAACTTGAAAACCATATAAATTAAATGATATATGAGTTGTATTTCAACTCTAAAACATAGGTTCCAAATCAAAGGCATTGATGTTTTTGTCCATCATTCAAAATGCTTAGGAGAAACCTCAAAGAAAATGGTCTTTTGAGTTTTCATTTAAAATGGCCAGCTGATCAAAATTGGACTCTTCAGCTGTCATTCTCGTTGTTTATTACATACAAAAATAGCCAAATTTAGAGATTTTCAACACGTCTACTCTTAATTTATATGCAAACACACTCTTAGTAATTATCTTAGTAATCTTAGAAATTATCCTGGACAACTTGCCTTATTTATTTTTTTGTATGTCCAATGACATCACTTCACTTTAATAAGTTGTTTTGTCATTTTATTTATGTTTTTGACTCAATCTTAATATTGATGCATTTCTTAAAATAACCCTAACAAAAACTAGATAACATTAGAGAATTACTGTTAATTATGTTATGTGTGAAAATGGTTTTGCATACAAAAATTGGCCTAGGGTGGTGGTGCACACCTGTAATCCCAGCTACTCGAGAGGCTGAGGCATGAGAATCATTTGAACCCAGGAGGTGGAGGTTGCAGTGAGCCCAGACTGTGCCACTGCACTCCAGCCTGGGTGAAAGAGTGAGACTTTGTCTCAAAATTTAAAAAAAAAAAAAAAAAAAAAAAAAAAGAAGAAAAGGAAAATGGTTTTGTGATTATGTAAGAAAATGACCTCAATTTTTTGAGATTCAAGCTAATGTCTTTAGAAATTGCTGATGAGTTGATGAGTTGAGTAGTATTGATATCATAATATCCGGAATTTATTTTTCAAGTGTTCAGTCCTAGACAGAAAGACAGAGATAGTGGACAGAGAGAAGTAAATATAGAGCTAGTTAGCTAGACAATTAGATAAGGCAAATATGGCAAAAAGTTTACAATTGTTAATCTAGTTGGCTGGTTTATAGATGGTGATAGTACTATTCTTTCTACTTATGCTTGAAAATTTAAATAGCAAAAAAATAAGTAAAATAACAACATATCATATATGAAGAAGCACCACATCTACTTACCAAACACTAAATCCAGTTATCTGATCTATTAAGCACTACCTTGGAAACAGCTTGACTTGGTGAAACTAGGGCTATATATTACCTATGGAGCCTTCCACAAGTAGCTTAATGTAAAATCTCAAGGTCCTTATTTCTAAAATGGGAATATTAATAGTAAATCTTTGGGTAGTGTTACTTCTGGAACTCAGAAGTGAAAAGGAGATAGTCCTAGTTTCATTATTAGGGCTATGAAATTATAAATATAATTACATAAATTGAATAAGAAAATGTATGTAAAGTAGCTAGCACATTGCTAGACATTTAAAAAACATTCAGTAAATTAGATTTGGTAATAGTAGGAGTTCAATAGTAGTATCAGTAGTGGCAGTAACAATAGAAGTTATATTAGCCATTTTAATAGTAATAGGAGCAGTTTTAGTAGTATTAATAGCGACACTAGTAATATTAGTGGCTATAGTTATAGTAGTTTTGTGTCTTCCTCTGTAAAATACAGCTAAAAATAGTACGTATCTCATAGGCTTGTTATTAAGAGTAAGTCAGTTCGCATGTATATTTATAACAACCTTTGACACCTAGTTAACCCTAATTAAATATCTGCTGTTAGTAGAGTTGGTGGTGGTAGTAATGTTTGCAGTTGGATATGACATATTTGCTATAGTATTTTTGCTTTCTCTACTCTAACAAGCCAAAAGTAAAGAAGAAACGTTTTATTATTTCATGGATATAGCATATATCAGACATATTTAATAATTTTTATGTTTGTGAAACATATTCTTTAAAGGATGCACTTCTTTCCAAACATCTATATCTCTCCCTTTACTCTGAACTTGAATGGAACAAATTATTTAAATGACAATTATGAGCTCTAAGTTTTATCTAGACCTTTTCTGTACCATATAGAATCTTTCTTTGTTCACTAAGATTAATTCAATTTGTTAATACAGCGTCATCACTGAGACTCATTTACATTGCAGAAATGATTTTGCAGTTAGTTTACGGGGGAAGGTGAAGGAAGGGCTGGGTATTTATATGTTGGAAGTCTTTTGATTTAAACTTGGGAAACTTCTAAGTGGTCAACCACATATACACTTTGGAACATCCCTGAGCTTTGCTATCACAATTTCCAGTATGTGATTCAACTCTCCTCATCTGAAGGGAGGAATTTTGTAATTGAGCCAAGCTGTGGCTTTTAGTAAAAATACAGTGAGCATTTGTATCTAATTTGTGGCTAGAATGTGCTGAGGCCCATGATCTTTACTTGCTTTGTAAGCGTTCTGCCAACCACTGAGGACCTCAACTTCTCTTGAGGTATGGAAAGTGCTAGTAGTATTTACAAAAACTTTAGGAGTGCTTTCATACATACACAACTATATTGGGAATGATACTTTATATTTTTTCTTCTTTCCTTCTGAGAAGTTTTATTGCTACATGTTCACCAAATGTAGAACCAGTGAGAATAAACATTACAGTTGCTTCTTACTGCTTTATGCAAGTGGGCTTATCGATAAAAGAGTTAATTTTCAAACTAGTTTAACATTAAACTTTTAGAGTAGTTTAAAAATCGTAAAAGAGTTCATGGTGAAAAATTAATAAATATAAATTTAATATAATGTATTCTAGGATATAAAACAGTTTGTGCTTTTTATTACATGTGACAGTATAAGAAGAATGACCACATTATTCCTATCAGAATAAAATAAGTGAATGTATAAACAGCACCATGTTTCAAAGAGAGTTTAGGGAAAAAAGATAGCAATTTCATTAAGAAAGAAAGAAGATTAGATACATCACATAAATATTTTTAAAAGGGCAATTATGATACCACAATATGTTTATTTTTATATTACTTTCTGCCCTCAATTTTTTGTTGTAAAGTTCAATGAAGAAACATTTTAAATTGCTAAGGTGATTTTTTTGAAAATTCAAATCTAATGACATGGCTCATTGAAATAGTGGGAGTTTAGTAACAGGGTTATCTTTCAATTAGACACCGAAGCAACCAAAGTACTGAGTTCATTTAATGAATAAATACCAAAAAAGTGCTTTTTACTTGTATGCAGACATTATTCTTTCCAAATATAACTATCATTTTGTGTCGTAATAGTTTGAAAGATTTTACTTAATACATTTATATTATTGAATATTTAGTATCAAGTGCATTTGTATTAAGGATGTCAAGAAACATCAAAACAGTCTATTTAACAAATATGTAATGTTTATTTTATTTTACAATAATTATTTTATATTTTATTTTTCCTCACTAAAAATTACTTAGACATATATGTCAATTAACTTTTATGATAGACCAAGAAAAACTCATATTTACCTTCTCTATATATGAATCTTATTCTCTGCTTACCTCAAAAAAAATTTTAATATAAGTAATAAAATAACATCTTTTACCTCCTTTGTTAGATGAATTCTATTTAGTATAAGAAGTTAGGCCAGCTGCAAAGTTGGGCACAGTCCCCCAAACCACCCTCACTTCTGACACCAACTGCAAGTTCAAGGGGTTGCAAAAATCACCCTCAGTTTCCATGCTTCGCTAGAAGGTATTCACAGAATTCTCTTAAAGCTGTTATATACATGGGTACAGCTTCTTACAGGAGAAGGATACAAATTAAAATTAGCCAAAGGAAAAAGCACACAGGGCAGAGTCAAGAAGTACAAAACACAGAGCTTCTATTATCTTCTCCCCGTGCAGTTAAAATGCATTACTCTGACTGCTCTGATGTGTGACAGTATGCTTGAAGTACTGCCAACCAGCAAAGCTTACCAAGCCTTTCTGTCCAGAGTTTTTGGGGGGACTTCATCAACTAGACATGATTGATGGACTCATTGCTCACATGGTTAATCTCAGTCTCTAGGTTGACTGATACCACATGAATCGAAGACCCTACTCTAAGTCAAAATGTCCTATTTGTGGCATGACCAGGCCCTTCTCTAAGACTCTACAGGTGTAGTTAACTCTTGCCCGAAATCACATGGTTGGATTTTCCAGTATGACCCAACTCCTACTCTATGACCAGCCCCAGCTTGAAGACTATAGAGGTGTGGCTAACCCCTACTCTAAATCATATGATTGGACTATCCTGTATGACCCAAGACTTCCCAAGCAAAGAAAGATATTATAGAGATTACCTTCTAGAAGCTGAGGGCAATGGCAAGACCTCTCTTTGGGCAAGGCTAAACTCTTTACTACACATAGGGGTGGGAAAAGTTAGAAGTTCAGTTTTCTTGTATGTTAGTGATATTGTTTTCTCTATAAATTTTCACACCTTCCCAATAACCTTTCTATTTTCTTATGAAAATAGTGTATAGATATTTGAAATATATCATTCCTGGTAGTTTATCTCATAGATATGGATAGCAATAGTTTTTCTCAAGTCAGTTATTTTATCTCATAACATTATCATTATCTTACCTGAAAAAACCATTTGAAATTACTGAAAGAATGTCTATTTAATAAAAACACTTTAGATTATTTTAATGTATCTATTCAATATTTGTTGAATTCTCTTGTATGTCAGATATTACATTAAGTACTTTGTATGTAATAATAAATAAGACCTGGTTCTTTCCTTAAGGAATTACAGTCTAGTGGAAGAAATCAACAGTGACACGATTACGGTAGAAAGGAATAGTTACAATGAAACTGTACAGAGGGCAATAACTAATCCAGCCTTACAATTTCAGATATGGGAGGGGTATCCAAAATGTGGGTTGAACATTCATAGCCAAGTAATGGAAGTGGGAGGTGGGGCAATCCAGGCAATGCAAGTGATATATGCAAAGTTTTGACGTGAGAACACATAGCAAAGTATACCCTATTCACTGTGGCTGGGGCACAGGAGTTAGGTGCAGGGGTAATCTGTGGAGGCTGAAGGTGTGTGTACTTCACTCTCACACAAGAAAAGCCTCATTATTTGTTTAGTAAATGCTGTCACTGTCATGGGTTATATGTACTTGCTAACATAATTCTGAATGTAGCTGAAAAGAAGTGAATACATATTATCTTAAGAGCAGATACCAAAATTCTTGACAATTTGACAAGTTCATTCAAACAAGGCATATTTAGCGTGATTATTTGCTTGGCACTGTGCTGGACTTGAGAAGACAGCGCATACAGCTGTATACATATATAACACAGGGATACAACATGTCTGCTAAATAAAACAGACGTATTTCCTCACATCAAACTTATAGTCGGCCAGGGAGAACAACTTCAACCACATAATCACAAAAGTGTTTAACTGCATTTACGATATGTAATATGACAGAAGTTTCATGGTAGCATAATAAAATATAGAAAGGGTACCTGCCTAGTCCACAGAAAATGGAAAGACTTGCTGGAGAAAATGATTTCAACTGGTATTGGGTAGAGGTGAAGGTGATAGGGGAGGGGGTATTGAGGTTATGAGGGGTATGAATCACAATTCCAGAAGACAAGACAATGTGATGAACCAGAGACTGAAGAGAACAAGATACATTTGTGGTCCTAAAAAGAGAATGTTCTGCCTGGAGAGCAGAGTGTGAGTGAGATGGCACACTAGGTGAGCTGGAGCATCAGAGAGAGCCTAGAGAATGGAATCAAGTTGGCTACAATAATGCTATGGCTTTTGTCCCAGGAAAGGGAAATTTTAAAGGTTTCAGTTTATCTGCTTTTATGGAGACAAGTGAGTTGGGCCCAGCTGCATTTTTAAAAGGTTATTCTAGGTAACCAATAGAGGAAAGAATAGAGTGGAACAGTGGTGGAAGTAGTGATCAAATAAGATGTAGGGGTTCAGGTGAGAGATGTGGGTAGTTTGGACAAGAGGCAGTAGTGATGGAAAGAATGGATAAATTCAAGAATTTATGATGAGTTTATGAGAAAGTTGAAGAAAGGGAGGGGTTAAGAATGTCCTAGAAGTTCCTGGAAAGTCAGATGACTAGAAAAAAATGAGTATTTGAGGAAGGAAAGCCAAATGCTATCAAGAAGTCAAATAAGATGAGCTGAAGCAGTGGGACTCAGATGAGAATTGATTGAAGAGTAAGAAATGAAGAAATGGAAAAACTAAAAACAGAATAGATATTGTCAGAATCCAAGTAAAAATCAAACAATCAAACAGCTTAATATGAGAAAATAAGAATTATTTATTTCCAAGAGAAAGAAGAGAAAAGAAGAGAGAAGTAAGAGATTGGTAGTAGGAGTGGCTGCCAACAAGATGGCAGAGCACTGGGAGAGGTGAAGGTTACTGGGAAATTCCCAGTAAATTTACGGCCAACAGGACTTTTAAAAACAGAATTATGCAGTGGATGATACTTTTCAAGGTTGATTTACCCTACCTTTTTTTTTTTTTTGATATAACCAGTTCCAGCTCCTTCAGTTGTTCAGTAAACTAACTTTACTAGGTAAGACTTCATGCTATTTGGTTTTCTGATAAAATAGAGAAAGTGCTGAATTTCTAGTCTGGAGCTCCCTGGTATGACAAAAATAAATAAATAAATAAATAAATAAATAAATAACAGACCAAGAGGACAGAAGGAAAAAAACTCCCCTATTGCAGGAATTTGTAGAAATCTTGGGAACTGTTTCAATTTTTGACCAATCTATACCTCAAGGGACTGGAAGATCTCAATCGACATTAAATTAAGACTGGCTAATATCAAGGATTAAGGTGTGTGGCCACTGATCAGTTCTTTATATGGAGATATTAATATTCTGTTCCAACTAACTATACCAATATGCTCTCTCAGCTATTATTCTTAACCTCATTAATCCAGCAAGGGTTGCAAACCCAAATGTTTTCCAAGAACTGGAGGGAACATGATATATGAAGAGGTTATTGGTAGAACCTATGGTGAAGCAAAACGTTCACTCCATGTACAGTCATGATACATCATAGGTATCTAGATATTTATCACTGAAATAGTAAATCAATATTTTTGGTTCATAGGAAAACCAAATGTCCATTTAAAAATTGAGTTTTCCAAGTTTTCATTCTAAGAAAATATCTTGGAGATAATTAACATGAACTTTGACATGCTCCTGCTACCATACAAGCTGAGTGACCTTAGTTATCTTAGTTAAATTACTTGGATTCCTTAAGTCTAACTTTTACTGTTAATCAAATGGATATAATAAGACCTATCTCATAGGGCAGTTGTCAAAAAAGAATTGAATAAAAGTGTGTGTATGTGTGTGTGTGCCTGTATGTGTGTATGTATGTGTATATGTGTGTGTGTATATATGTGTGTGTGTGTGTGTGTGTGTGTGTGTATGTATGTATGTATGTATATACTTGCACAGACCAGGACCCGGTATAGAGTAGGCATTGAATAACTATTAGCTATTTTTGGAAATTACATTGAAATGGTGTCTCATCATCACAAGCAAAATTTCCTCAAGACTCAAAAATATGTGTTGAACACTCTTGGAGGCAATAGAATAGAGCATTGAACAAAACAAATACTCTTGTCCTCGCAGAACTTATAATTTGGCAACAGAGTACATGTTAGTGGAATTGTACATTTTCTCAATTTCTGCAAACTTTTAGTATCTTTGTAAAATGAACTGTGGCACATATTAAAACTAGTCAATTAGATCAGCTTTGTGAAACCAAATCAATCATTCTTCCAAACCATATAGTATTTGTTTGTACTCATTGATACTTAAAACTTATTGATACTTATTAGACCTTAATATTTCTCTTTAAGAGATATCAATGAAATAGTTTCATCCCTTGAGTTTCTCTCGATATAACCCTCTGATTGTGGAAATAATAGAATGTTAAAGATATGAAAGCTAAAAAATACCTTATCAATAAATTATTCACTTTATTTTTCAGTTGAGAAACTGAAGCCTAGAGCAAGGACATAGAGTTAGCATGTCTAAAACACATTCTTTAAGTGGTGTTCATTTTGTTAGGGGAAAAAACTACCTCTTGGATCTTAAATGCCACATAATTGGTGAAAAATGTACTGATTTGAATAATTGCTGTTTTTGCTAACAGCTGGATTCCAATGGGGAATTACTAATCCGAAATGCGCAGCTGAAACATGCTGGAAGATACACATGCACTGCCCAGACAATTGTGGACAATTCTTCAGCTTCAGCTGACCTTGTAGTGAGAGGTAAGAGTTTCAACATTTTAAAATTACAAAACCAAAAGTATTTGACTTGCATAAACATGTATAATCTTCTGGTAACTCTGGTGCAAATTCTTACATATTTAGAGTCTCAATCCCATGCTTAAGAATGGATCTTAAGCTTCTTCCCATGCCTAAGAATGATCTATGCCAGACAAGTAGTAAACAACACTGATTTTGTTTGTTTTACTAACTACGTATCTTCTAGAAAGTTACACCACATATCTCCTACTAAATGTTTGTGCTTTGTAGACTTACCAAAAGTTCTCGTTTCCTGCTAATACTTTTTAGTGTGTTGTGTATAGTGCTGTTTCCTTTTTTATTTCTATGGAAAAGATATATACTGATGCTGTTTACTATAACCTCAACTGTTATATATTTATCACTTTTGTCTTAGAGTGTAAAGTTAATTTATACATGTATCATGTTTTTATTTGTTGCTGGTTTTTTCAAATTAGTGTTTTCGTTCTTATGAATAATATAATTGAGATTGTGATGGAATATACATTTATTAAAAATGCAACCCCTTTGCTACTGGCCGCTGCCATAGCAGTGAGGCTGGCTGGGAACACAGCACACCTTGTTTAAAATAAAGAGCTGGCTCTTCACTGACTGCCCTTTAGTTTTGCACCCAAGAAGTACCATGTGTTGACCCCAGCTTGCTTACCTTTAATATCTCACTTCATGTAACCAACTCCAACCATCTAACTAATCCACAAAAATACACTTTAACTTCCATGTCAGTTGCTTTATTCACAGTATTCCTTCCATGTCTTTTTCTCATGATTTGTTGACCAAATCTTATTCATCCTTCAAGTCTTAAAGTATATACTAAGTTCATGAATCCTTCTCTTGATGTCCCCAATATGAGCTCCGATCTTCTGAATTTTCATAACATATATTGCTTTCTCTCATATGTTTTATAGCAGTTGGTACACAGTTATCTACTCTCCTAAGTTGTAAAATTCATATATGTTTTTTTTTTAGTGAATGGCAGAGTTCCTTTGCATTGTTTCGTAGCTCTCTCTTTCTGTCTCAGTGTCAGTTAAAATTACTATTTTTTCACATTTCACCTACTAAAAATATTTATTGAACATTAATTGTACATTTTGCCTTTACTTTTCACACTATCAGATAAATTGGCAATAAAATGATATTTGTGGCTTGTTTATTTTAATTCTCCTTCCACATCTGGGTCAATATAATTTTACTCAATCTCATGCAGCTCCTGCATTTCCCTCTAGAGCAATGTTAATATGGGGTCCCTAAGCAACACTGGGCAAATGCTGAAAACTCTTCTACTCCATTTGAATATATTCTCCAATAGAGTTTTAAGAAGTCTAGTTGAAGTTTCTTCATCTGAATGAACTTGGAAATACATTCCACAAACCACTTATTGAATAATAACAAATAAAAATGAGACTACAAAATCCTAAGTCAAACAAAATTCATTTAGGTTCAGTATTTTCATTTATTTTGTTATCTGGGACATTGATTGTTTTCAAGAATTATTAGGGAGAGGGATTAGAGGGATTAGTTCACCATTCTTCCTAGTCAGACCACTAGCTGTTAAGTCATTTCCAGAAGTAGCCAAAGTGTATATTTAATTGAAATTGCTTGCATATGAAAATAATTAGCATTAATATTGCAATAGGAGTTATGTTACAGTGTGTGGACATAAATGTCTTCATATGATTACATTGTAGTAAACTCATAGTACTATTACCATAGAATACTCTGTAATATTCAGAGTGAAGAGGAATTTTACAGATGAAATGCAAGGGTAGTCATGATACTAGCCACACATACTTAGGTAATTAATTATCACCACTATATGTATTTTTATAGAGAATCAATAAAAAGAAGCTATAGCCAATATTATGTAGAAATAAAAACGTATACAGCATTTTAAGTCCTTGCACTATAGTAGGATGCTAATAAAACCATACAGGTACATGAAAATACTGCTTACCTCTGTTAAAGTCAGCAGAGTCATAACCATTCTTCAAACTTTATTTCTAATAATAGAAAAAGTATCCATTTCATATCAAAAGAAATTTGCAATTAAAATAGTCAAATATATTTGACTATTGCAGAACTTGTGTCAAAAACATGTATAGATGTTCTAATATGCTTTATATATTTAAACCAGAAGGTAGACAATTAAACAGTTGTTTTTATTTTTTAATAATAATGGTGAGCAATGTATAAGACATGCCCTGCCTTAAGTGATATTATTATTGGTCTATTTATTCATTTAATTATACTTTTGTATCTAGTTCAGGAAATCATAACCTGGAGTCTATGAACAGGCTTTAAGGGATCCATGGACCACCAGAAATTGTACATAAAATTCTACGTGTATGTACATTTTCCTGGGAAAATGATTTGTAATTTTCATAAGATTTTCGTAGCCAGCAATGTCCCACAAGGCATTAAAAAGCTAATCTATTTTTTATTTCCCCATCTAGATCAAGACTCTCTAATAAAATAAATTGAAGAGATGATTATTCACTTTATGCAAAAGAATAAAATACTAATACATTTCATGTAGTTAAATCTAATAGCACATTTAGATTGTGAATTGCTTTTAAAAGATTCGATTTGCACTCAACCCTTCAAAATTACATGTTTGTAAAAAATATTAAATATGTTATGTAGTAGACAGTAGAAATCTATAAGAACTTTCCATATTTGAGATGGACTAATTTTAATCCATATTCAGATATTGGTAATCTGAACTGCAGCTGCTGAAATTAGTGGTGCAATGAGAAGGACAGTAAACACAGTAGAGGGGAAAGCAATTTCATCTGAGGATCGCTAAAAAATTTTTTATAACAAAATTATTTCTGTGTATAAATGATTATGCCTTATCAGAGAAGACTGAAACAAAAGTATAAATATTTAGACATAATTAAGATTGTGGATTTCTTTTAGCCTACATCACACTGAAGGAAATGAATACATAGTAAGAACAGTGTTGCTGCCCTAATCAACATGTGTGTGTGCGTGTGTGTGCATGTGTGCACGCATTTGTAATTGTGGGTGGAAAAGGGTGAGTATATGCATACAGCATGATGAAAGCAATTTCTATCAGAAAAGAAGTGTGTTTTAATTTATTCCTTGCCTTTTTATTGTATATTGAGCTTAGAATGTAAGCAGTCAAGTAGTTAAATCTGAATGCCTCTAAATATAAAACTAAAATTAAATGTAGGAAAAATATAGTCAATGGAAAATGTAGCATTGGATCTGATTTCATGGGGCCTTTTACTGAGAGAAAACACTCCCGCTGTGAGTTTTTTGTGTCATGTATGGTAGGATTTAGAAATGAAGAAAGCAGTGGCAATTGTCGCCAAAGAAAAACAATCTGTAGAAAATGTCCCCGATAATAAGATATGAACTATTGTAATTCTGTAAAAGCATAAATGTGTACTTATAGAAAGCTATAGCACTTTAATTTATTTACCATATAACTGGGTCCAAAGATGCTTGAGGAAAAGAGGCCAGTAAAGTTGCATGCATTGTCTAATCCTCCAGCTCTGCAAACAACTTCAAATCATGAGATTGTATTGACCATGTAATTTTCACTTTTCTTTTCCAAAGTTGGCTTTTATATGAGTTATATCTGTTAACTTTGGCAACATTTCTGTTAGTCTTTCTATAGTATAGAGATTATTTTTGCAAGAGTAACATTTCTTCAAATGCTGTTGTCCAGGAGGTCTAACATATAAAATCGAAGATGAAGATAAATAAATAAACATTTGTGTCGTCACAACCCTGGCAAAAGCAGATTATCTACTCTGAAATAGGACACCTTCAACCAGCCCCCTAAGGATTCTAACAAATTTAGATAAATAAAATATGAATCTATATAAAAAATGAAAATTGATGGCCAGGTGTGGTGGCTCACAACTGTAATCCCAGCACTTTGGGAGGCCAAGGAGTGCGTATTGCTTTGAGACCAGCCTGAGCAACATGGCAAAAAACCCGTCTCTACCAAAAATACAAAAATAAGCTAGGCATGGTGGCAAGAGATTAAAATGCTATGCTTGATATGATGACATTTAAATAACTTATAGAAGATTTTAGTGAAAGTTTATTTTTTTCCTATGAAGAACACATATTGACCTCAATTTTCCAATTTTCCAAATAATATTGTTGGTGAAAGGAGTAATTTCAGAATCACCCCTTTAAGACAGGGGTTTGTATAATATACCTGAAGGAATTTAGAACTTAAATCACTATAGATTACTTAATATTTAAGAGGCCTTAAATATGTTGCGTTATGTTTAAAATGTTTAAAATATTTATATTTTAAAATGTTAATATTAATATTTAAAATGTTAATATTTAAAGGTCTTAAATATGTTGCCTTATATTGCCTTAGCTTTAAAATAAGAACCAGGTATTACACTTCAGATGTTTTTAGGCTTCTGGTATAAAAGTCTACATTAAGAGTATTGATACAAATTTCCTCTGTTGTTGCAATAAAATTTTTATTTCTTAGGTCCCATAAAAGTATATTTCGGGTTGCCTCGTCAAAGTAAGTGTCTGATGCTTGT
This sequence comes from Homo sapiens, assembly GCF_000001405.40. Classification (NCBI taxonomy): domain Eukaryota; kingdom Metazoa; phylum Chordata; class Mammalia; order Primates; family Hominidae; genus Homo; species Homo sapiens. The sequence goes on from NC_000012.12 coordinate 40,963,812, forward strand.
GAACAGCCCTGTATGAATATTTTTTAGCAAACAACATTTCTAAAGCTCTTCAGCTAAAAGAGTGTCATTTAGAGGCAAGAGTTTTGCAGGATTTATACAGCAAGATTTATTTTGGAAACCTATGTGCAGCTTGCCAAATCTAAATTCTCATTCATGAGTGCACCTTTGGACAACATTCAAAAATAGACCATAAAATTAGGCCCCAAATGAAAAAGAAATTAGGCTTTAACTTGTACATGTATTACCACTTTCTCTGGTATTTCTGATGTATTATAAATATTTTGGCAATGCTTCTGGCTAAGGAACACTTTCCTGCCACCTGGGTGAACAAAACATGTTTGCCACTGAAATTGCCAAAATAGAAAATGCAATTAAGATTATATCTTATATACTATATATTTGTTTACATCTTATGTGTTACATTAAATGACGTTTGTTCACTCAAATCTGAGTTTAAAAACAAACAAAAGAAAAAGAAAACGACTTTGCTATCTAAACTTTTTCTTTTGGCCTGGTTCTCAACTCTAACATATGCTGTATAGAATTTTAAAATGTTTTGGAAAAAGAGTAGCTGAAACTAAAGCAAATGATATGAAAACTCTGTAAATCATTTTCTCCTCAAAAGAAGTTTGTGTTGTTTACATTATTACATTAGAAGCTTATTTATTTAACCTTACGTGGACTTGTATTTAGGTGAAAACACCGTGTAAGTGAGTGTGTGTGTGTGTGTGTGTGTGTGTGTGTGTGTGCATGCAGCTTTCCACTTTATTTCTAAGGAAAAAATACAGTTACAGAATGGAGAGAGATATTAGTTAGAGGTCATCTTTATTGATATACCCTGTTAAGGTTTTTATTGCTTAGCCTAATGACGTGGTTACCAGATTTTTTCTTAAGAAGGCTATTTAGTTGATTACTAAACCACTTTTAAACTCTTGGATAAGTTAAAGTAACACGGTCGAACAAATAAATAAGCCAATAAGCCTGATGGAAGCTGTCAGTATACGTTTTAGCTGGAATAATATTGCAGTATTTTAAAGTACTATAATAGTTGCCTAAAGGTCTTTTCTATGGAAAATGCTCTTGGGTATTTTACTCCCAGCTGGTTTACATTAGCAGAGTTAATATCCAGAGTATCCCACTCTTCACTGTCCAGACAAAATTAGTTCTGAAGCATTTACTTGGAGATGATGGTCCAGGAAAATTAGTATTCTTTTTTTGTAAGAAATATGGAATAGATAAACATTTTCTTTCTCTAAGATAAAAGTGTTCTAATGGTCCTATTATTGGCAAATCATGTGTTAGTTACGTCTTTTCTCCTTCCCACTTTTTCACAGTAACTATATGAAATCTCTGCATTTATGTTCAAATTTGAAAATACAATTTTAAATGTAGAACTAATCCTATGGGTTATCTAGAAAGTTCCTACCCCTTCATTTAACAACTTGGACTCTGAGAGAAAGAGTTCCTCCCCTGTATTTTCCATCTACATGGTGGCAAACAATAATCTTGGGACCCCAGTCCAGTCTTCTCATTGTACTAGACTTTCTCCAGAAAGTATGGATAAATAAAATCTATAGTTAATTTCTAAAACTCACTATACCAGAAAGATTATCAAGTCTATTCTGGAGCTGGTAGGACAAATTCTTTTACTAATTTTTACTAAATAGTAAAAGTTATTGATTTCAGTTTCTGCTCTTTTCTCTTTCTGTTCCTACTATCTGGCATATGCTAATACAAAATATATAATTTTTAAAACATTGTAGGAAAAATAAAGCCAAAGACATGCATTATAAACAGATGTAATCATTAATTCTTGGATTATTTAGGGTTCTATTTGCATGACTAGCTCAGGGACCTTGGATATTAGTGAGGGCCACAGGACCGCATGTTGCCATGTGAAAAGTTTGTGTAACTCTTGGTGCTAAATCAGATTTTAAGCTTCTGTGGTATCTGGCATAAATGTTCACATTGTGTTCAAGAATCCTTACATTCAACATATTCTTAAATAAGCAAATATGGCTTTATGTTTGAAATTATTATTAAGGTATGGCAGGCCAAAATAAATTAAAAAGGACTTTTAAATTAAGCAATTTAAGTATTATGTAGTTGAGAAGAATAGACATAAAAGTTCTATATAATATACACACCAAGTTAAACAGGCGTGTAAGTATACACACCTCATCACACCACACACACACACACACACACACACACACACACACACACACGCACGCATTGGAAGAGATCCAGGAAAGAGACGATCATATAAAGGCAGAAAGATCTGGGTCCAAATCATCACAGTCAAATCAAAGAGAATGGTTGAGGTAGTTTTTCAAGTATTTGGGGCAGAAAAACACACATTTACCTCAGATATTTGGATAATTGCCTCCACTTTCCACTTGCTCTGGCCAACGAAGTCTTGCCACAGAGACAGACTAGAGATTCCATCTCATCAGCCTTGCAGAACTGAGACAGGAAAATGGTCCTTGCTGCCCACACTGGCTGGAACAATGACAACTGGGCGCCATTCTGAGCCATCCTGACCCCACTCTGCACTAACCACAGCAATGCATCCATTGATAGCAAAACCTGCCTAGAAATTAAGCCTTCCCCTTCCCACTGAGAATCAACAAATTCAGATCAAAGAAATACGACTGGGCTGGTTCTCCATAATTGTAATACACAAAAGCTAAAATATTGAGCTGAAATGCATATTTGGTTATAACAAATGCAGAATTTAGAAAATTTAAAGTCAGAACTTAGTGGTTATTTAAACAAAAACTCTAGTAAAAATGACAGCTTTCCCAATTACTTCTGGAATTTTAAAGTACATCAATAATTTGAAATTGTATTTTTCAATGCAAGTTCAGCGTAAATTGAGGTACACTCAAGAATTTTTTCAAATATGGCCACAAAATAGGTAATTCACTCAGAATGATTCACATTATTTTAAATTTTAAGATAGGTCTTGAAAATTATCTAGATGAACACTTCATCTTACAAATTCAAAACTTAAAATATAAGGATAAGAAGATACTATGTTATGCGCTAATATAAATTTAGATTTTTCTTTCCCTCCACACTAGAGTACAGTGAGAAAAGCTCCCGTGGAGGATTTCTTCTTTTCTGCAATTAATTACTCCCGGGTCTCTTATAATCAAACTGGTCAGCTTTTGGCAAACTGGAATTTCTTTTTTTGCTGCACATTTAGTGTGTACCCATGGCTCCCTTAAAAAATAATCGGCCAGGGGAGGCAGAGGCAGGAGAATTGCTTGAACCCAGGGGGCGGAGGTTGCAGTGAGCTAAGATCATGCCACTGTACTCCAGCCTGGGCAGTAGAGCGAGACTCCATCTCATCTCAAATAATAATAATTATAATAATAATAATCAGCCTGGTGCAGTGGCTCATGGCTGTAATCCCAGCACTTTGGGAGGCCAAGGCGGGTGGATCAGGAGGTCAGGAGTTCGAGACCAACCTGACCAATATGGTGAAACCCCATCTCTACTAAAAATAAAAAAATTATTGGGTGTGGTGGCACATGCCTGTAGTCCCCCCTGCTTGGGAGGCTGAGACAGGAGAATCACTTGAACCCAGGAGGTGGAGGTTGCAGTAAGCCGAGATCGTGCCACTGCACTCTAGCCTGGGCGACAGAGTGAGACTGTCTCAAAAAAACAAAACAAAACAAACAAACAAACAAAAAATAACCCTTCTACCACTCAGTTTGATTCCAGGGAGACAGTAGGAAAGCTTTACAGAACTTAGCAGGCCTTGGGAGCTTTTAGACACTGCATGCATTTCAGTGCTCCATAGTGATTCATACATCCATGCGTATTTACCAGATAATTATGCCAAATTAGGCTACAATTATGCCAATAATGTCAAAGTTCAAGAGCAATACAGATAATCAGAGATACCTACAAGTCTCGAAGAATATGAATAAATGGCAATTAGTTCATATTTTGAAAGTAATTGTGATGTATGTTGGTAAAATACTACATTTTTCCAACTCAAATCTTTAGGCTGTGAAAAGGTATTTATATAAAATGATGAATATAAAATGAAAATAAAGATATATAATTATATAATTTAATATATAATGACAGAATGTAACTACATAGCATGTTATAATAAAATATATATTATATGTCATATAACATGTATTGATTATATCATAAAATGATATATAACATTTATTAAAGACATTGTTTACCAGATTTAATTTTAAAGGACAGGTATCGTTACTGTATTATATTCATTTTACACATGAGAAAATTGAATCTAATGAGGCTAAGTTAATCACTAAAGGTCACAAAGCTACTAAGTGGAAGAACAAGGTTTGAATGCAGACAGTCTAATTTCAGGTAGAACACCCAGCTCATGGCTGTAGCACACTATAACTAAAACTTAATTCAAATATATTCAATGTGATAAAATAATCAGTGTGGAAAAGCTAAGCTGCTGGCCTTTTACTTTCTTGGCAATAAATGTTTATTCTATAGAGTGTCACTGATACTGATCTTGCTATTTTATTTTTGCTCATGTTATATTTATGGCTGGCCTATTACAAGGGAAACTATAGTAGTTATTTTTTTTTCAGCTACTCAACTTTACACAGTTATAATTACAATAGCAAAACCAATAAATGAATTGTACTAGATGGCTTGAAAGCTTGATTTTATAATGTGCTCTTTGGCCTAAAAATAGGTAAATGAAATTTTGATGTGTGTTTTCCTGCTTTTTAAAATAATGTATAATTCATACAGTTAAAAATAGTTCATTCAGAATATTTAAATATCTTAGATTATAATGTCTACACTTATAGGATTTTCCTATAAATTTTACCACGTCATCCTACAAAATTGCTGTGAGGTGGTAGTACAAGGACTGTTATTCCCATTTCATAGGCAAAGGAAGTTTAAAAAAGAAAAAAAATATATTTTCAACTATCAGTTATAAAGCCAGAATGTGGCCAGATACTAGTGTTCCAAATTCAACTACATGAATATGCTTTTCCCTTCTTGATGTTTAATGTTCCCAAAGACAGAAGTCAGACCATATAATTTTGTATTGTGCATCTCTATCATTGTTGGTACATGGTTTGTCAAATTAATTAGGTAATTCCCTCAAAACACTCTGAGTTATTGATAATTCCAAGTTAAGTTAGAGAGTAGAGTAACATTTTAGCTCGTTTAAAATTAGAATTTCATTAATAGTTTCCCTTTTCAGCTCATTTTACTAAATAAGACAAAAACACCTTAGCCTCATTGCTGAAAATATAACCAAGAAAAAACTTAACGACGTAAAATCCCTTTCGAGCAGTTTTATTACCTATGATTTTTGTGCAGTCTGCCATTTCCAGTCTCGTGACTATGCAGTGCTTTCTTGAGGGAGCCTTTTGTGGGCTTGCTTTCCACCCAGTTTCTGGAAATTTAATTTGGTCACAAAAGTTTGGGCATATTAGAATGAAGGAAACTCAGAAAAAGCTTTTACCCTCTAAACTCATCATCGGTTTATGAAGCTACAGAGAGATTTTAGTGCTTTTGAATTCCTACAATAGCTTCTCCAACTCTAATTGTCACTACTGGGATTAAATGAAACATACACAGAGAGAGAAAGAAATGTTTAAGTATTCTGCAACTGACGCTTAGCTAGGATACCCCATTAGATCAGAGCAGCAAGGCACAGTTCTAAATCTTTTCTCTGCCAGAGTGCTTTTCCATCATCATGTTTAACTGTACACTATACTCTCATAACTGATTGCAGATTTTGGCATAAATCCAAAAAAACCTTTTTCCCCTAAAAAGCACAACACTATTTTAATTGTTATTTGCTTAATGCCAGCTAACAGTGATGATCATTGTGTGGACATGGGAAGACATAAGGGAGTGGCTGAGGTTCATGTGCATTTTCCAGGGCACCCCTGAAGAGCCAACACCTTCACCTAAAAGTGCATTGGGATGCAAGTGAGTGAGAGTTAGCATGCTACCAGGATAACTTTGAATCCACTTTATCCTTTGGGAAAAAAATGCAGAAACTTCTGAATTCTCAATCTTATTAGTAGCAAATTACTTGTGACACACCAGAGTGTAGAGATCCCTTGTGTAATTATTCCCAGAATGGTCTAACGTCCGTCACTCTGAAGAACCCACTTCTGAGCATCTGCTTCCTGCACTCTTAGCGACTCTCAATAATGAGAGCTTGACCCCGCCCCTCCTTCACACATTCCTGAGAATTTCTCGAGAAGAAAGGAACTGTTACTGATAGAAATATGTCAGATCCCGCTGATGTGTAGGGTCTAAGCAACTTGGAGGACCACTATTTGATATCTTTCTACATTGTCTGGTAGATACAGTGACTAATTCAAGGAAATGGCACCCCTCTCTGGAGGAGTTTAGGAAGGCTCCCTTGGTGACTGTTCACAGCACCCCCTTTTCAGACTTAAAATCTCAAATCACAGATAAGCAAACTCTGGTAAAATACCAAAAACTACCCAAACTGCGTTCAAAAGAAAAAAAAAAGAATATATCTAAAATTAGGATTTTCAGTTCTCATCAAAAGGATTTAAAATTTTATATGCTTAAAATGTCAAATGTCTTACGACCTTTTTTTTACTATTTACCGTAAGGACTGAATTTACAACAAGCAGTCAGCATAGGCAAGTTTTCCTAGTTTCCGTTTCTTCTATTTAAATAGCTATCTCCAGGGGGCAGTAGTGGCTATAAAATGGTATAATTCTAATAATAACTATCCTTAGTTATGCGTAGGGGAATGAGGTAGGTGATCACTCTGTTAATTACATGGTTTTCTATAACAATATTGCTGTATTAATATACACATACTGTTGTTAAATGATTACATGGTTTTCTATAACAATATTTCTGTATTAATATACACATACTGCTGTTAAATGATTTGCATGGTGTGATCTAAAAGCTGTGGCCTTTGGTATTAGGTAAATCGATTAGATATCCACTTTGCCTACCTAACCTATGGTCTTAGGCTAGTCTATTAATCACTGTAAGCCTCAAGTTCCATATTTATGAAAGAGAATATGAGTAGTTACAGTCCATACATTGTTCATGGCAACTTTTTATAAACATTGTCCTTTACTTCCTTCCCTTTACTATGAATGTATATATCGACATAAGAAATAAATAAAATATAACTCAAGACACAGTTCTCACAAAACAGCCTTAACCGTTGATTAACTTTTTCAAACCATTGCTTCAATCTATCCTTATTACTTTTATTCTTAGAAGTCTTCAAGGCATAACCATATGTTTCAGTAGATAGACTTGCACTCTGTGGAATGAAATTTACAAAGGATCCACGAGATTTGTTTCATTTATTTGTTTTTTGAGGAGAGACTTCAGTTACAACGCTTGCTCCTTAGAAAGTCAGTCACTGTGTATGAGGGAAAGGTTTTAATTGGGCCACAGCTTGTGGCATCGGTCTTCTCCCTTTGGCCCCCCGTCCTCAGTGTGTAGGGGAAGATACCTTTCTGTGTTTATTCTTTCACCTTACCCATCAAGGAAATAGGGCAAATCCCCCAAGTGCATGGCTTCCTGCCCCTAATTGGGCATCCACACTCTCCCTTCAGCCTTGATCTTTCCTCTTGCAGGTAAAAACAGAAAAGGTGGAGAGAAAAACATGGTGGATTCCTTTCTCCCCGTCTGTGCAAGCCTGCCTCCAACCTGGTGATCGTTGACACTCACCATTTCTGTGAAAGACTTTTTTTTTTTTAACATATTATACTAGATTTGACTAACTCAATCTTGTAGCTTCTGCAGTTCTCCCCACCCCCAACCTAGTTCTTAGAGTATGTTTCCCCTTTTGAAACATGTAAACATACTTTGGGCATAAATATTTTTTAAAATATAACTATAATGCTTCACTAATACCTTAAAAATGCCTAGTGAACTAACTCAGTACATTATATAATGGCCAAGTGAAAGTTTTGTGTTTTCATGTCCTGTTTTTCTTTGAAATTATATAGCCCAGAAATTAGCTCATTATCTGAAAAACGTATGAAGAACTGATGAATTGTATAATACAGGAGTATTGCCATTGAATGTACTGTTTGATTTATTCAAGCAGGTAATGAACAATGTTGTCAAACTCTCTAATGAGACATCATAATTAGGACATAAGCTAAAAGGGGCATTACTCCGGCAGTCTTTTTTTCTTAATCCTAGTACCATACATATTCTTTGGCATGAAAGAATGAAAAGCATTAGTAAACAACTGAAGTCCTACCATGGCTCTGTAGGGTTTTTGGAACAATTCCTGGAATTGGAAAGTGAAAATGGATAGCATGTGGGGGAAACCCTCATCTGAGTAGCAAGATTTTAGTAAAGATGACTAAGCCATTAACAGCATGCATTCATATTTAATTTTATTGACTCCTGCCATCAGCTTTTGTAGATCGTTTGGGTGGAAGGTTGTGATTTTTACTGGGAGGACTTGAGTAGAAGTGGATGATTAAAATTGAGGAGTATATAATTCTTTCTGGGACTGCTTAAATGTTATTGTTTGAAAATACCTTCACTTTCCCCCTTTGGTCAAAGAGATGTGCTTAAAATTCTTATTCCTTCACAATAAATAATTTTGATTTTCTTAGACAGGTTTGTGTTTAGGTATGAGTTTCTCTTTTACTTCATCTAGCAATTCTCTCTGTGGTCAGAAGAACTCTGAAGAAAGCTTTGAGGGAAATGAATATAACTCTTAAATTATTATATGTGTGTGTATATATATAGTTTAACTTTAAAAATAATTTATTAGTCATCATAAAGAAATAAATGTCTCTGGCTCAAGATGTTACTTATTTCCTTCTTTTATATTTTCTAGTCTCAATTACTGTTCCAAAAGGAGCTATCTTAGAACTTAGACTAGAGATCCAGATTAATTGCCATTTTTGTAAGATGTTTAAAATCAATTTGAGAATTTTCATGTGTCTGTAAACAGCACCATGGAGACATGTATGAATCGTATTAAGGGCATCTTTCCATGTAGTCCATACTGAAATTATACAACCAAGACCAGATAGGAATATTTTTTATTTTATTTTATTATTACACTTCAAGTTTTAGGGTACATGTGCACAATGTGCAGGTTAGTTACATATGTATACATGTGCCATGCTGGTGTGCTGCACCCATTAACTCATCATTTAGCATTAAGTATTTTGTTTTTTAAAGAAATAATAAAAATTCTAAAGGAAATCATAGGACAGATGTGACTTGTACCAGAAAGGGAAGGACAACCTTAAACTATATCAATATCAAGTAGAAGAATTATACAGGTTCATTTATCTTCCTTTAGTCTTGTTCTTATTTCTAACTGGGATCTAAATTTACCTTTATCAATATCAGAGGTTAAGAAAATTACCATATTCCTATTAAATGGTAGAGATATTTAATAAGATTCAGCTTCATCTTAGTACAACTTCAAACATCAACATGATCAGAAAACATTGATTTATATTTTAAAATAGGATATTGGAGCCATTGTCTTAGATAATTTTCAAGGCAAGAACAAGCCTGCAATAAATAATGAGACTTTGACATTCCTTGGCGAAGAAGATGTCTCCTGCCCTAATATGACTGTCACTCAGCAATTTCAATTTTATGTTTACTTGATTTAAAAAGGGAGGATAAATTGTTCTGAAAAGTTTTTTGTTTCCTTAACATTTCAAAGTTTTCACTGAAATTTGTTGTTTTGGTAAAAATAAACAGTTAACTACAGAATATTTTTACGTGGTGCTTTGCTTTTAATTACTTACTAGGGAATTACCAGTGGAAAAAAGAATGTCACCAGTGTTTTTCCTACTTACACCAGTTCTGCAGCATGAATATTTATATTAAATGTATGTGCTATATGAATTCCCCAAAGGGTCAGTAGTTTTGGGGGGTTTATTTCCAACTATAGTTGTTTAGAAAGCCAGTGTTTAAGAGGGAGAGAGCAGGTTAGGGCTACTATCTAAGTAGTGGCACCAACTCAAATGATACGTGGGGTGTAGTCACAGCTACTTTACATCCTGTTTATAAATTGAGACACGAGGATCTTAATTTCTAGTCTTCTATCCAATTTGATTTATCAAAAAAATGAATCTTGATTATTGATTAAGAAAATATGGTCAGCTTACTATGTGTGAATGGTCATTTGGAAAATTTATATATTGTTTTCTCACTATCTTTCCTCAAATGTCTAAATTCCTCTTCATTGAATGTTACTACATTTTTAAAGCAGAAATGACAGAACTGATTAACTATATTTCTCCTCATTTTTAAAAATTAGTTTACATATGAATGAAAACTGAGTAAAAATCAAATCTATATTTTGTTCATACATAGGTATGTTTTTCTAAAAACATTAGTAAAATCCAGGAAAGATTACCAAATATATTTATAGCAATCAATAAAGAGTGGGAATGTATTGAATATGAATTTATAAATGGATGATGTGTTTATCTTTACTTATCTGAGTTAACACTGAAACAAAGATTTAAAAAGGCATGATTGGCCAGGCATGATGGTACACACCAGCACTTTGGGAGACTGAGATGGGATCACATAAGCCCAGGAGCTCAAGGCCAGCCCAGGCAACGTGGTGAAACCTCATCTCCATAAAAATAAAAAATAAAAATAAAAAATAAAAAAAAGCTATGATCAGTATGTTACAGTTTTTGTCATATTTTCCAAAATATTCACTTGTATACAAGTAATTCATATTCTTCCCAAAAAGAAAAGTCAGCAACGGAAACCTAATAACATTTTTGAATGTGATACTGACAATGCTGTTTTAAAAATATTGTTTTTAGGATAGTTGTTGAAAATTTGGTCTCATGACAAATTGATTAGGCTCAGATTCTAACTTTGACATTTACTTGCTGGGTGAACGTGGCCATTTTATTTAACCTATTCCTGTCTGTTTCCTCACCTGTAAAATAGGAAAAATAATAGCACTTACATCATAGGGTTATTGGTAAGAATTATAAAAGATTTGGCAGTGACTTCAATATAAGTACTCAGAAAAAAGCATAATTTTTATTAAAATGTACAGTATAAATTTCCCCTTTTTGAATGACTAATAATTTTATACCATGTAAATTTTATATTGTTAGCAGTTCAAGTCCAAAGAGAACAATAGTGTAGACTTGTTGTCATCCAGGTAATTACTTGGAAGTCTTTTGCAGACAGGCACATTTAAGCTGTATAATCTAAATTTGAAAATAGATGTTTTCTCATTTTGAGCGTGTTATACCAGAAAACCCTGTCTTTGATCCCATCTCTGTACTCTGTCACTGATTAGCTATGTATCTCTGACAACAGCCCTTATAGACTTCGGTGTCCTTTTGTAAAATGGATTATATATATATATATATATATATATATATATATATATATATATATGTTTTAGTGGACTCTTAAATGTATGTGATCTACCTTAAATATTGAAATGTTTCTATTATTTGTCTGTAGTGCATGATTTAATTGTAAAAATGTTGAAAACATAAATTTAGAGAAAGAGAGTAGGGGTGTGGCAAATGAGACTCTGCATTGAACCATGAATGACAGAATGACAGGAGATCATTCAGGCCGTTTCCCCAGTCCTTTACTAGGTTAAAAAGTGACAGAAACAGGTCTCAGTAGCTGTTCGTAAACTTGTTTTTAGTCAACTTTGAAGAACCCCCAAGGTAAGAAACATAACACTAACAAGGACTTTGATAGATCATTATTTTTGTATGCCCCATAGGTGAAATTTTATGGAACATTCTCAGTCAGCATTCTCTAAGAGGAATTTTTAAAGTGAGAGTGAAAGAATATAATGGGTGCAAAACAAGAATAGTAAGAGAGGGGGTCATGCAAATAGGAAAGAAAGAATAGTCCATAGAGGCAGCCACCATCTGAAGTACAGAAAGGTAGCCCAAAGAAGGGTAGCAATTTGAACACTATGATTTTGAATGGGAAAATAAGAATCAAAAAAATCAACACTGAAGTTTGTCCTGCCAACTGCAATGAAAGAGGAATTCAATCAGCTGGATAGGCTGAGCACAATTAGTGGTATCCACTCTTGATGACATCCTGTGAGCATTTGAAAGAATCAGGAAACAGAAATAGCATAAATAGTAGGGATATGATATATGAGCGTAATAAAATGTATTTCAAAAACTCGAGAGCATGGGTAGGGGGAGGTGGTGACAAGAGAGGAGTGAAGATAAAACTGTATTTATAAAAGCATAAAACAAAAAGCATGCTTTAAATAACTTTTTATTCCCTCCTCCATATTGTTCTTTTTCTCCTCTTTCACCTCTTTCTAACTCCCCAATATTAATGTTAGTGAGAAAAATGGATAAAAAGACTTTGCCAGGTCTAGTCAGAAATATATTTCAGTTCTTTTTCCCCTAACTTCAGATCTTTAATAATTACAGCCAAAGAAAGAAAAAAGAAAAACAGAAGACAAATTTGTCATCTAATGTATCTAGGCATTTAAAATCAGGTCAGATTCCAACAGTCTTTTTCAACTGACCAATTTCTCTCTTTTATGTTAACTTTGGGGTAAACAGTTCTCAGAATCCTTAGCTATCTGGCTGAGAACAGCCTAAGAAACTGGAAGGAGATATCAGTAAAGTAATAGTGAAATAAGCTGCATGCATCAGGCCATTTGCTTACATTTTCCCTGGTTTCCTGAAGGATTTATTGAGAGCGCATGGTAATGGAAACTAAAAAAAGAAAAAAAAAAAAGAAAGAAAGAACTCAGGGTTAGAATTATGTATGGTTGGGTTTTTTTCATTGACAAAAGAATCAGAAGAGTGGTCAGTTCTTAAATGCCTTCCTTTGTGCTGAGAACAAAGTAGTTTTGTCATTTTATTTTCTACCTCAACACTTTTCTGTCCATTCTAAACAAAAAAAATAAGCAAGTAACATCAGCCTACACTGCTTGAAAACCTTCCTGCTGAGAGACACTGCAGGGCTGGCCCTGGGTTGAAGTCCGACCGTCCACGTTTGTCTCCGTGCTCTATTTTTTGCCACAAACTGATTCCTTAATACACAGAGTATCTTCACATTCCCAAATTTTCCTCACCTACATCAAAATTACTGGAAAACATTTTACTTTCTATGTTGTCCTATAAACCAAAGAGTATCTGAGACAAGTCTCAAGAAAGTTTATTTTGCCAAGGTTATGAATGCACCTGTGACACAGCCTCAGGAGGTCCTGACGACCTGTTCCCGAGGTTGCTGGGATACAGCTTGGTTTTATGTATTTTAGGGGGACATGAGATATCAATCAACACATGTAAGATGTACATTGGTTCCATCTGGGAAGGTGGGACAACTCAAAATGGGGGGCTTCCAGATCAGAGGTAGATTTAAGGATTTTCTGATTGGCAATTGGTTGAAAGAGTTATTACCAATAGAAAAGAATGTCTGTATTACCATACAGACTTGTGGGTGGCGGAAATCAAGGTTTTCTCCCGCAGATGAAGCCTTCAGGTAGCAAGCTTCAGAAAATAGATTGTAAATGCTTCTTATTAGACTTAAGAAGTCTGTTCTATCAATAATTCCCAAAGGGAGGAGGGTGTAATGAGGCATGTCTGGCTGCCCCTTCCCATCACTTCCTGAACTAGTTTTTCAGGTTACTTTTGGACTGCCCTTGCCAAGAAAAGGGTTCCTTTCAGATGGCTGGGGGGCTTAGAATTTTATTTTTGGTTTACTGTCCCTGCTTTCTTTTAAGTAATAAGTGGTAAATGAATACTCTGTAAACAGATCCCTGGAATGACTGACAAAGTACTAATTAATAACTCCTGCCAGGTAGCTAAGATGCTCAGAAATCTTTTAAAGAAGTAATGACAATAATAATATTGTTAATAGATAAGGTTTCCTGATGGCTTTCTATGTACCAGGCTGAGAACTACATTCTTTAAGGACATTATTTCAGTCCTAACAATCATCTGTTTTGTTTTGTTTTGTTTTGTTTTGTTTTGTTTTGTTTTGTTTTGTTTTGTTTTGAAAAGGAGTCTCACTCTGTCACCCAGGCTGGAGTGCAGTGGCGCAATCTTGGCTCGCTGCAACCTCTGCCTCCCAGGTTCAAGCAATTCTCCTGTCTCAGCCTCCTGAATAGCTGGGATTATTAGGTGTGTACTGCCATGCCAGCTGATTTTTGTATTTTTCGTAGAGATCCGGTTTCACTATGTTGGCCAGGCTGTTCTTGAACTCCTGACCTCAGGTAATCCACCTGCCTTGGCCTCCAAAGTGCTGGGATTATAGACGTGAGTTACCACACCTGGCCTAAAAACAATCCTATATGTTCGGTTTTTATTACTCTTGTTTTACAGATGAGTAAACAGGAACTTAACGATTTTAAGAAACTTGCCCAAGATAAATCAGGGCACAGAACTGAAAGCTGAGTCTATCTTAATTCTAAAATCCCTGTTTTTTAATACAATTATGATTTTAATAGTATTATTTTTCTCAGGCATTTTTGGGGAGATATTTGTAGGCAATTACTAGATGGAAAAATCTACTTCATATCAGTGGAACCATTACCGAGTAAAATTCCCACACCAGGGTTTTGAAGATACCAACACAACCCTTTCCATTTGTCTTCTCGATTCCACCTCTTCATGATGATATAGTATTTCAAGACAATTGGAAAAATGAAGACTGTATTGTGGATGACAATTATGTTTACAGAACTGCCTGAACATTAATTATAATAAATTTATTTATCTATACACCAAATATTTATGAAGAACCTACCATAAGCCAGACATGTATCCGAGAAAACAATGGACAAGTATAATTATAGTGTTTTGCTCAACAATATTACCCTTAAATGAGTGGATGACTGAATTATTATGCATATAATGTCTCAACAAATACACTAATAATATGCAGCTTTATTCTGACCTTTATGAAATATTACTCATTTGACACCTCAAGAACATCAGAGAATAACAGCAGGGAAATGATTTACATTTTAATGGTTAATGACTAACCTATGATAATTTTGTCTTAAATTCCCTTTAACGTTTTCTGAATGCCATACCCCTATGCTCAGAAAAAGTAACTGAATGCATGCATTACAGGGCTTTTTCTTCATTTGAGAAATTCTTTTATTATTCACCTCTAATTTTTTATTTTAACACTCTGAAATATTCTACTTAGTAATTGACTTAGGATGCTGCATTATGTGAAGTAATGAACTTCTTGGTTCTGATCAAGAATGTACACTGTATTTCAATGTGTTTTCTTACATATGAAAAATGCAATATGTTCTCTCTGAATATCAAATGTGTTCTGTTATGTGTCTATTTTCAATTATTTAACATTAAGAAGTCTAAGTATACTATTATAGGTTACAAATTTATAAAAGTTCGCTTGCTTTTCTTATATGTGATATATTTCCAAATAATAAAATTTACTGTCATGGATAGGGTATGTGTCTTGTGTTATTTTAACATTGGTGGTGATGTGTTTTTGTTGATCTGCACACACTTTCTTTCTTGGGACCACTTTAAGGAAATGGGTGAAGGTTTGGGGTGTTGGCCATACCTCTGCAAATACCAATGTTCTTATAAAGAAAAAGGCCATCTAAGCTAAGCAACCCAACTGATATATAAATATAAAGGTATATATTTCAGCTGAAAGATAAAGACAAATGTCCTCTTTAGTATTACATTAATTATGAAAAATGATGGTGCTACTTAATAAAAATTATTAATTATTATATTAAATATGCCTAAATCAATTGGGGGTGGACTCCTTTCTGGTGCAAATAGAACAAGTGATATGTATGTTTAGTTATAAACATTCTGAAATGTCTATACTAGGAGCTGTCTATTAACTGAGAGACTTCTTTAGCTTTTGAAGTGATAGATGCCACTTCACCACTTAAAGGACATTTTTCTCTTATTTTTATTTGTCTTATTTGAAGACAAAAAGCTCTTCAAAGCCCAAAAAGTTGTGTCTCACTTATCTTTTAATTTCTATTTCCCAGCACAGTGCACTGTTGAAAGGAAAAAGGAATCATATTGGTACTGAGTTATGAAGCATCTATGAAAACCTATTTTTAACATTGTTTTTTGTTCTGCCAGAACAATTCTTCTAAGACTCTTCAATATAATTTGAGGTTTTAAGAGCATTCCTGGTATATCTCTGAATTGACAATTATTTTCTATATATTATATAAGTAGAAACATTTTTAATATTACTTATTCTTATGACTATAACTAACATGAAATGTATTATGCAAAATGATACATGAAATTATTCCCAGAAATTTCCACTTCAAGTAAAATGAATTACCTATAACATTTAGAGTTATAAGAAAGTATGTGGGCCAGTGCGGTGGTTCACACCTGTAGTCCCAACACTTTGGAATGCCTAGGCATGAGGATCACTTGAGCCCAGAACTTGGAGACCAGCCTGGACAACACGGTGAAACCCAGTCTCTGCAAAAGAGTACACACATGCACACAAAAATTAGTTGGGTGTTGTGGAGTGCTTGTAGTCCCAGCTACTTGGGCGGCTGAGCTGGGAGGATCTCTTGAGCTGGGGAGGCAGGGAGAGGCTGCAGTGAGCCATGATCATCCCCACTGCACTCCAGCCTGGGTGACAGAGTGAGACCCTAACTCAAAAAAAAAAAAAAAAGCCACAAAGAACAAAGAGGATGTGTTCAGTTCTGGGGAGGCAGAATGACAATAGACCAAATGTTCCCATATCTAAACTGAATTGTGCTACCATCTGATTCATGCATTCAGCAAGAATTCATTAAATCATGCTATGCTACAATCTGTTAGGTCCCCTTGGTGCCAATTGCATATAATGAGTCAGAGATTACTATATCTGCATAACAATGTCATTTTTAAATGATAGCATTTATCCCCTTCCTTAAAAAGAGATACATGAAATCATTCAGTGAAAACTACAAATGATATCACTTCTTATAATCTATATTTAAAAGAAATGCAGACACACTGATTATATTGGACAAATGTTCTTTAGATTAATGGTTAGAAGACATTTTTATATTCTAATGTGTGTTTGACTCACTAGATGGAATTCACTGATTCATTACCCACATTTTCATTTCAGGCCCTCCAGGCCCTCCAGGTGGTCTGAGAATAGAAGACATTAGAGCCACTTCTGTGGCACTTACTTGGAGCCGTGGTTCAGACAATCATAGTCCTATTTCTAAATACACTATCCAGACCAAGACTATTCTTTCAGATGACTGGAAAGATGCAAAGACAGGTGAGTTTTATTTGTCTGATTAATCCGTGCATGTTTTCAAAGTGAATTCTTTTCTCAAAAACAAAAATTTGGAGGTTTTAAAAATGTCATTATCTACCTTGAAAGGCTTTCTTTCTTAAATTTTTTAAAATGTATTCTAATATTTTGGTAATGAAGAAAATTACATAGAATTTACACATTTAAATGTGTTAAAGCTATAGAAAAAGAAGTATCATTTCTAAATCAATATATAATGGAAAGCAAAATGAGGCCTCCTGGGTTTCTTACTTGAGTTTTGTGTGAGATTTACTGCCCCAAAATCATCGGGAAGTCTATTTTTGAGCAAATAGCATTTATAGCATAGTATTTATGACCCTTTTTATTTGGGTATATATGTACTATAGTTCTGAATTTCTAAAAAACCACATTGATCATAAATCTTAAATTAAGCATCCAAATCTTACTACTATAACCCTTTATGTGAATGATCTCACCCGGTTTGAATTTCCTCAAAACAGATTTTTAAAGACATTTTGGATCTTTCAACCTTTTTCTTTTCTTATATTAAGATTTTCTAAAGTTGATCGGGAAAAATTAACTAAGAATAAGTGGGTACTTTCCTTTGTCTACAACTTTGCCATTTGTCATGACTAGCCTACAATATCACACATTAATACATATATTTTCTCCTGTAAAATGGAAGATTGAAGACCTTTTTGATAAAATAACCTGTTTATCTTTGTAACTTTTGACAATATTTTTAAACAAACTTGTCATTGCCAGAATTCTTTAAGATGGAAAAGAGGAGACATAGAAATATTTTCCCAGTTGTCACAAGAGGAGAAATGAGACACGAGTGTGTGAATAAAATGTTCCTCCTTTTTAAAAAACTAAAAAAAAAAAAAATACTCTAATCTCCCAAATCTGCTTTCATTTTAGATTTATCTTAACATAATGGAAATCCCATTTCCAAAATGCCTATATTTGTATTGCTCACTAAGATATTTTAATTTAAATTTACTTCTATTTGATACTTCTCTCCCTCCAGGGAAATAAATCAAATATAAACTTGAGGTCTGTTGCAAGGATTTAGGATATATTTTAATATCAGATGATTCCCCACCTAAGTGTATAAAGTTGCAATAAATTAGAAATAGGTGAAATATTTCCATTACATTATGCTTATTGTTTTAAGAATTATCTGTAAATATTCTTGACAAAATCAGATCATCTGAAAAATAATTTTAAAAACCTTTTAGATACTTTATAAACCTAAAGCATGGGCAGTTTCTACTTTTCTGAAGAGAATGGAAAAGTATGATAATAATGAAACTATTAGAAATCTAGCCACATTAAAATAAGTAAATGGTTTAAATTTGGTTTGGCCCTGAAAAAAGAAATACTAATTGCAATCATTTTCATTATTTATGTATGCTTACTATGTAGCTCAATTTAAATATGCTTCTTATTTTAAAATATCCACTAGAAAGTAAGTTCCATGAAGGTAAAAACTGTTTTATTCACTGTTCTATCTCTAGCACCTATATCAGGGCCCACAGTGCTCATTCATTAAACATGTTTATTGAGTCCCCACTGTGTGCCAGAACCTATTCTAGATGCAGTATGTATAGGTGAGTAGCAGTGAACATAATAACAACAATAAAACCTGTCTTCAAGGAGCTTATATTATAGTAGAAGAGATGCCAATACAGAATTAAAATATATAGTAAGTCATGTGGTGATGAATGCTAGAGAGAAACAACAGAAAAGAGGAATGGGGAAGTAGGAGATGTGTTTTAAATAGGGTATTTCTCATATTCTCACTCATAGGTGGGAATTGAATAATGAGAACACTTGGACACAGGGTGGGGAACATCACACACCGGGGCCTGTCTTGGGGTGGGGGGAGGGGGGAGGATAGCATTAGGAGATATACCTAATGTAAATGATGAGTTAATGGGTGCAGTAAACCAACATGGCACATGTATACATATGTAACAAACCTGCACATTGTGCACATGTACCCTAGAACTTAAAGTATAATAAAATAAATAAATAAGTAAATAGGGTACTTCTGATATTAGTAATAGCCACTGCTGCTTTCTGAAAGTTCCTATTTCCATTATATATCTTTTCCAATTCTTCTACTTTCATTGAATTTGGGTCTTTGAATCTAAAGTATGTTTTCTGTTGGCCACATATAGTTGGATTTTTCATCCAGTTTGATAGTCTCTGCCTTTTGATTGAATTAATCAATTAACATTTAATGTTATTATTGATACAGTTGGATTGTAGCTGCATTGTATTTTTGCTTTCTAAATATTTTACTATTTTTGTTCCTCTTTTCCTTGTTCACTGCTTTCTTTTGGAAGAAGTGAGCATTTTCTAGTGTAACATTTTAATTCCTTTGATGATATTCACCGTGTGTGTGTGTGTGTGTGTGTGTGAGTGTATGTGTGTATGTGTGTATATGTATAATCCTGCTCTGAAGGGAAGTTTATATTCACTATACATGTGTATATTCAAACACATACATACTTAATGAATACTCTAGGGCTTACCAGATACATTTGAATTTATCAGAATAGGTTTTATAATTTTATTAGCTTAAATTTTCAGTGAATATGAAAGTGTTTCTCCTACATAGTTCTATTTCATTCTTCCTCTTTTGTGCTATTACAGTACTATATATATATACTATATATTATATTACTATATATTAATAGCATATATAGTAATATAGTTATATATTACTATAATACTGTATATTAATATTTTGTTATATATGCTATTATAGCATATTTTATTATATGCTATTATAGCATATTTTATTTTATGCTATTATAGCATATTTTATTATATGCTATTATAGCATATTTTATTATATGCTATGTCATATATAGTAATATATATATTGCTATAATAGCATATAATATATGATATTAATATTTAGTAATATATTATTAAATATATTACTCACACACAGAGGATTAAATATATTACGCACAAAAGAGGAAGATGAAATAAAGCTATCTAGGGGAAACACTTTTATACTCAGTGAAATATATATAAATATATATATTACATCTCTATATGTCACAAACCCAATAATCTTATATTAATATTATCACTTTCTATAAATGTTTGCCTATTAAACCAATATGTTTATATTATCCTTTGTTAATTTGTCTGTTATATTATCCTTTATATTTACTACTTCTAATCCTCCTCACTTGTTCATGTTGATTTGAATTTCATCTGTCTAAGTCTATTTTGCATTGCTATAAAGAAATATCTGAGGCCGGGTGATTTTGAAAGAAAAGAGTTTTATTTGGCTCACAGTTCTGCAGGATATACAAGAATCATAGTGCCAGCATCTGCTCCTTGTGAGGGCTTCAGGAAGCTTTCATTCATGGTGAAAGCAAATTGGCTTGTCACATGGTGAGAGAGGGAGCAACAAAGAGAGAAGCAAGGTGCTAGGCTCTTCGTAACAATCAGTTCTTGCATGAGCTAATAAAGCAAGAACTCACTCATTATTGGAAGAAAGGCACAAAGTCATTCATTGGGAATCCACCCCCATGACCCAAACTCCTCTTATTAGGCCCCACCTCCAATATTGGGGATCAAATTTCAACATGAGATTTAGAGTGGACAAATATACCAACTATGTATCACCATCTGATATGATTTCTTTACAACTTTGCTCCTACCTGTCCCCTTTGTGCAGCTAGTATCAAATATATTACATTTAAATATATTATAGATCCAATAAGACAATTATATATATACATGCATATATAAATGCACAACATATGTGTGAATATATATACATACATATATAGTTTTCTACAATTACTTTTAAATAAGTTAAGAGAAGATAGAAGAAAAAATAAGTATTTATATCATCTTTTATAATTACAAAATTACCTTTACCAATGCTCATTATTTTGGGGGAGTTTATTCAAATTGCTGTTTGGGATCAACTACTTTCAACTTGAAGAACTTTAATTTTTTTTTGTAAGATAAGTCTTTTACTAACAGTTTCTCTCAGTTTTTGTTTATCTAGGAGTGCATTTTGCCTTTGGTTTTAAAATATATTTGCTTGGATATGATATTCTTGGTTGACAGTTTTTGTTTTTCTTTTCTTTTTCACTGCTTTGAATATGTCATCTTAGATGCCTTTTTTAGGCTGAGAAGATTGTTTTCTATTCTATTTGCTGAAAAGTGTCTCAAAATCCCTTTATATTTACCAGTATATTTATTATATCTGGGTTCCTCATTCCTTTCTGTAAAACTCTTTTTTTATCTGGTATAATTTGCATTACTAAGAAACTTATAGCATTTCAAATTGTTCAGGTTGTTGGACTCAAAGGTTTTTACATTTTTTCTATCAGAAAATGTCTTTAATTTCATCTTTAAGTATTATTTTTATTTCATACAAAATCCAAATTGCTCTTCATTTTACTTTGATCACTTTAAAAACATTGTTCTGTTGTCTTTTGTCTCCATTGTTTTGGGTGAGAAGTCAGTTATTGTTTTAATCATAATTCCCTGCACTTGATATGTCCCTTTTATGTGACTGCTTCAAGATTTCTTTTTGTATTTGCTTTTCAGCTTGATAAAATGCATTTATCCTAATGGAGCTTGGCTTCTTGTATTCTTAGGTTGATATTTTCTTCAACTTTGGAAAATTCTTAGCCATTCATTACCTCTTGAAATATTTCCTCTGCTCTACTCTCTCTTCTTGGTTTCTCTTGACACATATGTTAGATTGTTTGATGTTGTTCCACAGATAATGGACAGTGTGTGTGTGTCTGTGTGTGTGTGTGTGCACGCACGCATGTGTCTGTTTATCTGCGTGTCTGTGTTTCTGTATGGATAATGGCTAATTTCCTCTCTTGCTTACATAGATAATTTATTTTGTTGGATTCGGTCTGTGAATAATCCCATTAAAATACTTTTGACCTTCTGCTTTATTGTGTTCAGGAATTTTTATTTCTAGCATTTGGCTGCTTTTAATATTGTTCACATAATATTCCATGGGAATTTCCTATTTGTTTATACAAGTTGTGCATGTTTTCCACTTGACATTTTTACATACTTAACATAGTTATGCTAAAACCCTATGAGATGATTTAAACATCTAGACCATCTTAAAGTCTAGCTCTGTTGATTTATTTTTTCTTTCTTGACAGTGGGTCATATTTCTTTGTTTGCTCATGTGTCTGATAACTTTTTGCTCAATTCCAAACATTGTGTATAGAAGAACAGTGATTACTAAAGTAAATATTAATTGATGTCTGGGAAAGTGCATGTCATTACTTTAGGGACTGAGTCAATCAGATTTGTAGTTGAGATGATCTGAGCATTGTTAGATTCAGTTTAGCACAGGCTTCAAGTAATTCGAATGTATGATCAGACCTCCTACATATCTGAGTGTCTGGAGGTTTTCCTGTCCTGCTATCAGATTTCGGCAGACTCTTCTACGTTGGACCCCACAGAGGGCTCTTTCAGTTCCCCTGCTTCTGCCCAGATACCTGCTGCTGATAATCAGTCTAAAGCCCAGAGTGCTCGGGCTTTTTACTCAGTTCTCCTTCTCTTCCCTTAGACTTCAACAGGTCCAAAGCACCTGTCCCTCAAGGGGAAGCAGATCTCTCTCAGCACTCCTGCCACTATCTCATGTTTGTAGTATCGGTGCCGCAGAGGGAAGTCTTTTTTGGCTCTTTTGTTCTGCCCCAAAACTTTCTTGAGTACACATGATGAAGGCCTATGAAAAATAATTGTCAAATTACTATAGATTCTCCTTGTTCTTTGATCTCCCCACGTTTTTAAACAGCCATACCAGCCTATACTTTGTCTGTAAATATCTGTTAGAAGTTAAACTGTTTTCTTCTTGCTAACATCTGTGACTACAACCTTCTTTCATCACTGTTCTACCAATGATGAATTTTAGTCCATTGTGTCTTCACAAACTCAGCTCTCTAATGGGCTTTGAAAGATGGTGGTTTATAGATTATCTATGTGTTGTTTTTGTTAGTGTACTAGTGAAGTTCTCTTGTGACTGCATCCTAAGTGGAAGTGAAAAATATTTTCTGCAACAAATACAGAAATAAAAATCATATGGTTTTTATTTATAATGTGACCACTAGGAAACAAAGGTACAGGATTAAATTCAGCTTCATGAAGGTAAATACTTAAGATATGAAATAAATATGTTTCAAAGATATCAATTTTCAGTGTTCCAAAGATTAAATTTAGAATAATGAGATGAAGAAATAGACTATGTACTTTTAAGGCAATCTATTGTAAATTTTACTTCTCTTGGACTGTTTTTAGCAGATGGACAGCAGACAGCTTGATGCTGTTCCTGGAGTTGTACAAGATGCTCAGGTCGTTGTTAGAAAATTG
The DNA here is from genome assembly GCF_000001405.40 of Homo sapiens. Taxonomy (NCBI): domain Eukaryota; kingdom Metazoa; phylum Chordata; class Mammalia; order Primates; family Hominidae; genus Homo; species Homo sapiens. The sequence continues at coordinate 40,987,455 of NC_000012.12, forward strand.
TGTTTGATTCTATGCTGTTGTTTTCAGCGGACAAATGATAGAATATTGTTAGTGATGGTGTGTGTGTATGTAAGAAGATGTTGGCCAGAACATGAAGAGGCATAGTAACCATGCTATGAGAAATAGTTAAGAGAACCTGGAATAGATTATGCAACATGAAGAAAATATGTTTATATTTAAATTTCTGTGTTATGTAAGACTGAGTTGATTATTAAAATTTTTCTGCAGTTAACATCTTTGCACATAAATGTTTCTCTATACTTTAGATTATTTCCCTAAAATAGATATTTGTAAATTAAATTGTTGAGTGTAAACAGCCAAAACCCATGAGCTGTATTATATAATCGCTCTGCAATAAAGTAGAACCAGTTTTTATTCCCATCATCAGTATTTGAGTATCTCTTCTGCCATATCTTTACCTAGTATTAGTATTATCTTTTTAAAAATGAAAACTCTCTAGGTTTATTGTAGGACAGTATCCTTTTTTTTTTTTTGCCTTTCTGTTTCTTCAGTTTTTGTAGTTCTCATTTCAAACATGAATTTCTAGATTTTTATGAGGCTACATTCGTATTTCCCTTAGAGAAGGATCAAGGATTCACACCTTCTGAGATGCCAGAACACAGCTTGCTTTACTTTTGCTTCATGGAAATTTGCCTAACCTATGGCTCCTTCCAGAGTCCTGCCAGGCGATCCATGGGTTGGGTCTAGGACCTGTAACATAAGACTGAGTAGGTGCGTTAGAACCAGTGAGAAGCCTTTAAATTCTCATTTCCAGTCTCAAACAGACACCTGAATTTTTATTTAGAATCTCTGAGTGAGTAGGTTTGTTCTGCGTACTTACAAATATTTGGGTTTTAGATTGAAATGGGGGACATCAAAGATTCTGCTTGTGTTCGGATCTTAAAGAAATACCAGGACTCACTCAGGTAACTTGTAAAAGTCTACAATGGAGGGGCTTACATTGGCTGGAGTTATTCTTGACACAATCTGTTTTTTAGTCCTGAAGTCATTCTGGCTGTTTCCAAAGCTGCTCAAACAATTAATCAGTGTGCTCTAAAGGCAGGGTACCACGAGCATGATTTCCAGGCAACTAAAACACAATGAATTATTGGTCTTATGATACCCATGAGGCTTGATTCTCTTTTCCTCAAAGAATGGTGGAAACTTCTTTTTATTCTAAGCCTTAGGGCCTCAAGGCATTTGTAAATAGATCTTTGAATTATTGCTTACAGCTGGTTGCTAAACTGAGTACTTTGGCCTAAGTACTAAAGTAAGAACTAAGGTCTCCTGCTTTATATCTCTTTGCTTAAAATTTACACTAAAAGTAAAACAAATTTTTAAAGAACTACCCATTTAATACACAAAGTTTAGTTTTTTTTAAAAGAGAGATGCCTCTAACAGGCATTATACTGTTAAGATCTGATTTTTCACTGCTGAGATTAACTGTATTGCCTGACTCAGAACTGACCCGGTTAAAAATCAGGTCTAGAACAAGGTCTGCTCCTGATCCATCCCCAGTATTTGCCTCCATTATGCAAAGTACTTTACTCTCTTTCTGGCTCCAAGAATAACAAACAGGTTGCAAGGAACTTGGCTGAAGAAAAAGGACACAAAGTCTCTCCGTTCCTGTTTCTCTTCATTTGGCTTGAGGCATAAATCTGCTTCCAAAGCAAAGCTGACTTCTTTAGGGAGCAGGCCTCTGCTCCCAAACTGCATAGGTGATTTTGGAAGCAGTAAAAAAAGAAGAAAGAGAAGAAGAGAAAAGGATCCAATAGTTCCTACCAGGGCTTAAGGAATAGGAAAGAAGATTGCATTAGGTACAAGTCCATTTATGAAGACATTTAGGGCTCACAATAAAACATATAAAATGTGTTTTAAAAGTAAAACCATGTTTTTAAAAAGCATACAAAGCGGCAGTGGAAGAGATAAATGAGAATCAACTCACAATTGAAGGGAAAGGAAGAGGCCTTAAGAAGATAGAGTAGTACTATCTGCTTTAGACAGGACAGGACAATTTATGGGCTGAATACATGACAATATAGAGTCATGGAGTGATGGATATTATGTGGTGGGGCAAGGTAAAACAGTGCCCTCCTTCTCTTACCTGCCTGATTCAAGGATGGAGAAGACACTAAAGTGATTGATATAGACAAAGCTATGCTTCTTGCATTGAGACACTGTCCACTCTAAATAGACACAAACTTTAGAATTTGTATTACATATATATTTTAAGCAAAAATGTATTAAGTACTTCTATTTGTAAAACATCATGCTGGGCATACTAGGCCCTGAGGGGTTTCAAAACATGAATAAAAAGTAGAAGAAATGTATACATGGCCACAAATGATAGCTAGGAACAAGCAAGGGGGAGACAGAAGAAGTATATTGAGTGTGGGCCTCATGTGGACCTAGCCAGTCTTGGAGTTCCATTTGTAGTGATGATATGGGCTACTTAGCTCAAGATAAGAGCTGGGAAAATAGACAGAAAGTGTTTTAAATTATGTACTTCTGATGTGGTTGGGGTCAGAAGTGCCACCGAGATTTGCAGAAGTGAAAGCAGCTTAGAGAGAAGAGACACTTTTAATTCTTGGTACATCTTTTAAAAATGATAGACGTTAATCATGTTTTTGCTAAATTATTCCTACTACTTACATAGATGGTTTTATTGAGGGGATATTATAACTATCTACCAAAACATGTTTGTTTTAGATATTTGTATTCTCGTAGGTACTGATGTTAATATAAATTATCAAGAAGAAGAATAATTGGGTTTGTTCTAAAAAGAAGAGTTGTCAAGCTATTAGTAATCCTGGTGGGAATACTATTTTTAAATATTTACAGCAAATTCCTTCCTTAATAATTCAGAATGTCCATTCTGGAATTCCATCCCCTTAACTTGCACTTCGTTTTCCCCCTTTGAGAGAGTTTTATGCGTCTTTGGACCAAGGGGTTCTTCCTAGGGTCCACCTGCTTGAGGTCATGACTCTGAGTCTGGTTGCTTATTCTTCCTTTCTTCATCTCACTCGTTAAAATCAAAGCCTTGGCTCCTCAGCTGGAATCCAGATCTAGCATAAAATGACTCCTGTTGACTTTTCTTGCCTTACCTACCATCATTCCTTCACATATTTTTGGTGGTCAACTATGATCTTCTACTTTATGAAAATGTCTTCCATTTGTTTGGGATATTTTCATACTGGATCCTCACACTTTTTATATGCACTCAAAATCAGTCAATCAACTGCAGCTTCTCCACACATCCACCTGGTTCTTCTTTGTCTGTCCTAGCAGATACCTGCCCTTACCTGTTGACCTCCCAGCTTCCTGGAAAAGCCCCAGTGTAGCCTTGACTATCATAAGAACACAATATCCTCATTCTTTAAAATGCTTCCAACATTTCCATCCTTAAAACCCTTAAATTGTGCTGGAGTTTTGGGACTAGGAAGCAGGGGAGCAGGTCAGACTGCCTCAAGCCTCCTAAAACACTTTTGTACTGTACACCCCTCAACCCCTGCCAAACTCAAGAATTATAAACTCACAAATAGCTCCATCAGCTTCTGCCTTTAAGGTTCAGTATTAGTTTTCTAGGGTTGCCAACAAATTAACATAAACTTGTTAGCCTAAAACAACAGAAATTTACTCTCTCATAGTTTGGAGACCAAAATCAAGGTGGTGGCAGGGCTGCATCCTCTCCAAAGGCTCCATTCCTTGCTTCTTTCAGCTTCTGATGGCTCCACATATCCCTTGGCTTGTGGCTACATCACTTTCATATCTACCTTGGTGGTCTCATGGCCTTCTGCTCTTCTAGGTGTGACTCTTCTCTGTGTCTTTCTTTTATAAAGACATTTGTCATTGGATTTAGAGCCCACCTAGAAAATTTAGGATAATCCTACCCTAAGATTCTTAACACTTACAACCTTAATTTGAGGGTCTGCCAAGCCTTTTTTTTTTTCCATATAAGATAACATTTACAGGTTCTGGTAATTTGGACATGGACATTTTTTGGGTGGAGAAAGGTACCATTTAACCCAATACAGCCTGTTTTCTATAAGGGGTTAAAATCATTGAAAAGTGTCCAGTAAAAAAGGGCTACCTTGGCCGGGTATGGTGGCTCACGCCTGTAATCCCAGGACTTTGGGAGGCCAAGGTGGGTGGATCACGAGGTCAGGAGATCAAGACCATCCTGGCTAACACGGTGAAATGCCGTCTCTACTACAAATACAAAAATTAGCCGGGCCTGGTGGCATAAGCCTGTAGTCCCAGCTACTCGGGAGGCTGAGGCAGGAGAATGGCGTGAACCCAGGAGGCAGAGCTTGCAGTAAGCAGAGATCACGCAACTGCACTCCAGCCTGGGTGACAGAGTGAGACTCCGTCTCAAAACAAACAAACAAACAAACAAACAAAAAGGCTACCTTACTCAGCGTTATCAGTTATCACTTCACTCTGTAAACAGCCCTTCACAAACCAAAACTTCACTTTACTTCTTTCAATTACCTAGAAAAATGTCCTTATGCATGTGAATTAAAACAAACAGTTTCCGATTTGGTGTGAGGGAGGAGTGAAAGAGGAGATAAAGAGGTAGAAATCCTTAATGAATCTTAATAAATCAAAACAGAGGCGAAGGTAAAGGGAAAATTTTAATCAGAAAGTCAAAAATATATGTCAAATCTACAGAACAAATCCATAACAAAATAAGAAATTAGATGGCAAAAGTAGTGTCTAGCAGAGTTAAAATTATGGCAGGGTGAGATGGGACAGTCTGAGCCATGCGAGAATTTGTCCAAAAGTAGAAACTGGACCCTGGGGTGCTTAGCATTTATTGTGTTGATGGACACGTCATCTTTAAAAATTATGTATTCATGGTCTACATTGCCAGATAAAACTTCCCTAAATGATAAGATATTGCGTCATAGACAAGCCTACAGGTACAGGTATTTATATGGATAGGTTGATTATTAAAAACTCGTGGAAATATTTGAGGCAAGCTTATAATAATGCACAGATCTACCTTGGTTGCATGTTTTATTATACCTCAATTAAATAAGCAAGCTAAGATCACATTCCACCCATAATTTATCATCTAATCTATATTAGTATCTAGTAGCATGAATTCTGAGGGATACTTAACAAATCTTAATAAAATTATTATGACATTTATTATCACTTGTCCAAATGATTTGAGTATAAATCTATAAAACCAAGTAAAAAGGATATAAACATTAACCTTTTCTACCTAGTTATAAATCGTTTGCTAGCCATAGACTATATCAGTGGCAATACATAAAATTTTGCTGCTCCAATTGTACCTTTATCTCAGGAAATCTTTTTAGATTGCACCTTCAGAATACAGCTCCTTGCTATTCAAGGTGCAGCTCATGGACTAGCACCAAGCCTGGAGGCTTGTTAGACATGCAGAATTGCAGACTCCCTGCCTCAAACTTACTTACATAGGTGATTCATATGCATATCACTCTTTGTAAGTTTATTATATATTAAACCTCTTCTCTTACTCCCTTGAATTTAACATTTTGTCATTCCTAGTTGTAGTTTTTACTTCAACTCAGTGTAATATATACCATTCTCCCTGAAATAGTAAAATAAAAAGGGAAGTTATAAAAGTGATAAGTTAATCAACCTGTATTCTCTATTTACTATTTATTTTATTCAGATCCCCCAATTATTGAAGGAAATATGGAGGCAGCAAGAGCAGTGGACTTAATCCCATGGATGGAGTATGAATTCCGCGTGGTAGCAACCAATACACTGGGTAGAGGAGAGCCCAGTATACCATCTAACAGAATTAAAACAGACGGTGCTGGTATGTATATACAAGAAACTTGAAATTTTAAAAGATTTCTAAATACAGTGCCACTTTCATATATGGTTGAATGTATTTGAAAATAATGCTCTGAGGTAAGTGATTCATCTGAAAAGCATGTGTGTGTATTTCACTATCAAGACAGTCAAAAATCAAAAGAGGAAATATGAAGTTTAAGAATATTTTAAGACAGTCAAAAATCAAAAGAGGAAATATGAAGTTTAAGAATATATTAATTAAGAATTAATATAGAGGAAGAGGTGAATAGGAACTACTGAAATGCCACTGGAGACCATTGGAATGACGTAAGTATTTAGATTATAAACTTTAATGTAAATTCTGAATCTTAACTAGGCAGACTCTTGCTTGATTAAACATGTTTCATGATTTAGAAGGTTCATAATTCTGTGTCTCTCTCGAACTCATTTATAACTGAATGGCCAAGTCGGTGGATATTTTATGGTAAATACCAACTGCAATTAAATAGTGCCAAAATTTTAGGTTTGATATTACTTGGAAATAATTTTTTCCTAACATTTAAGGATAAGTAGACATCATGGTAAATATTCTTCAGAGTTACATGCGAACCACTGATAGTGAGCATATCACTTCTAGATATGATCTTAAGTATTCAGAGTCCAGAGTGTTCACCATTACCCCGTGGAACCAGCTCTAGATATGATCTTAAGTATAAATTATATTCAGACATTTAGGTATGAAAGAATTAGATTGAATCTCTCCGAGACATTGTTTTTGTTATTATTATTCTTAAAAAATATTTAATGTTGTCACTTCTACTTTGAGATTAAAAAATAATTTAAGACAGATCTTATGGTAATCATGTCTAGATGATGAGCCTATATATTGTAAAGAAATCATTTTCTGAGATAAATAATACAGATAATATTTGCAACAAAATTCCAAGAAAGAAGGAGGGAGGCCTACATCTATTATCAGTGTCAAAGAAAGTATCCTTTCTCTCTGACGATTTTTACTTCAAAGAATGGTGTTCAGCTAAGACTTAGGTCATATTGTATTAGTCAAGAAATCACAGAAAATTAATTAAACTCCATGATTAAAGGTCTGTATTTGAGATAGGTAAGTAAAAATATTTTACCTGAGATGTTTGTTTAGACCAATTTAATCACTTAGTATTTTTCTGCAATTTTAGTGAATGCTTGTTAAATCAAATCAAATACATGATCTGTCAGTATAAAATTACATAGGTAAACCACCAGTGGAATCATGCCACAGTTTCTTTATATTTTTGTTTTTAAAGAAAGAGCAACAGTGTTCGGTCCATAATACAGAAGCCTCTATTACAAACATATGCAGCTCTAGGGAATAATAATAAAAACCAAACACAAGAATCCTGGCTATGTGGTATCTGTCTCCTATAAAGCTTCATCTTAGATTACCTACATATCCTGATGAAATTTCTGTGAGGTAGAGAAAAGCAAACACTAGTGTTCATTTTGTAGGTGGATATGCTAACACAAAAAATTTAGTGTTTAGGTCATATCTAGTATCATAGTTAAGGTTGAAATCTAAGTTTCTATTAGAACTCTAATAAAGATTCATATAAATAGATGTGTTTCTAGAATCCTGCTTGAGAAGCCGACTTTGAGAAAACTCAATGTATGAGAACAGCTGTCAGATCTAAATTTGAATTCTGAATCTTGCAATTAGTCATATTAACTTAGATAAACTATTTAGTGTCTCTGAGTTTATTGCCCATTAATGAACATGAGCATAGGACTACCTATGTCAAAATGTTATTATGAGGATTAAATGAAATGGATGTGAAAATATTGAACATAGACCAAGTATTTTAGTGCTTTGGCCCCTTAATTTCAGAATTATCCTTTTTTATCTAATAAATTACATTAAATTACATGAAACTTTAAGAGATAGTTTACTTATAGCAGTCCCTGTTTAAAGACATTAGAACTCATAACTATATTTAGAAGTTAGGCCAAGGAACTGAGGTAAACAGAAATGTAGAGAAGTGATATTAAGAGATCACAGTAGCATTTTAATGGAACTCTGCCATTCATTTAAAATCTTCTCTACACCATCTAAAACACTGAAGTTTGGCAAGTCCTAGTCAAATGAGCTCAGAGAGGCTACATTTTTTTTTTGATATAGGGAATAATAAAAGAAGAGCTATCATTAGAATCAGAACAACATTTTTCCTTAGTGATATAGGGGAGAAGGAAAAAATAATAGAGTATTTCCTGCTCTAAAGGCACAGTTGTTACTTTAAACCAACTTATTTTTGTCATCACCTTCTTTAGGCATCACCTCTTACATTTTCTCAAATGGTATTTTGTTAAGGACTTAGTTCCCCATCTGATGTGCTTACAAAATAACTTCCCTTACAAGCCATTAGAGCCAAGGCCAAAAGCAAACACACCTATTCACAGAGTAAGATACAACCTTGTAGTGATATGAGATGATTCATTCTTCTCAATTGTAAAAAAAAAATTAATTCTGTAACTTCTAACACATTTGTTAATCTATCATCAGAAAATATTTTGAGATCTTTGATTAATAAACTCATTACTATAGTTTACACATTTGCAGTATATTGTCAGACACAGTGCTTAGTTCTCTGTTTGCATTGCTTAAGTTAATTCCCACAATAACTTTATGAAACAGATGAGGAAGTTAAGATTACACCCAGCTAATGTGAGGCAGAGCTGGGATTCAAATCTAGGTGTTTCTCATCTAAAGGCTTTGCTCCTAAACCACTTTCTGAAGACAGTGGGCAGTATTGTGGCTCCGGGCCACTGATCCTTTGGTGGAATGCCCGCATTATTATCTAAAAGCTATGTAATTTGAGGCACATTACTTAACCTCTGAGCCTCACTTTTTTTTTTTTTTAGACAGTTCAGTGGCTCTTTTTTTGGAGTGCAGTGGCACAATCACAGCTCACTGCAGCCTCGACCTCCAGGTCTCAAGCTACCCTACTGCCTCAGCCATCCTAGTAGCTCGGATTACAGGGGCTTGTCACCACGCCCAGCTATTTTGTGTGTTTTTTGGTAGAGACTGGGTTTCTCCATGTTGCCCAGCTGATCTTGAACTCCTGGGCTGATGCAATCCACCCACCTTGGCCTCCCAAAGTGTTGGGATTACAGGCATGAGCCACCGGGTCTGGCCTGAGTCTCACTTTTTTCATTTCTAAATGGGAATCATTTATCTTAAGGGATGATTTTTATGTTTACAAACATATTAGGAAAGCAGTTAGCACTGCACTGCATAGTATTTGCTCAATAAAATTTATTTATTATGCTATTAAATGTCCTTTAAAAATTTAATATGCTTACAAGAAAATATGGTCTCCTGTCTACTTTGTAATGGATTACCCATTTAGCAATACATTTCCAATTTTTATAAGCATAGAAGAAAGATCATATAATTTTATGTAATTTTCAATAATCTTTTAAAAGTCATTTTATGTATTTGATATAAAATTCTACAGAATTTCTCTACTGTTTTGCCATTTACTTGCTTTATTAAAATTGAATATGCATCAAATTGGACATTTACATTTTTCATTTTTATAAGAAAATAAAAATACTTTCTAAATGAGGGATGTTTGTCTTGTCGTGTACCATTATAACAACTCTCTAAGAGATGCCAGCATATGCTATGTGGGACAAAGGCTGGTTCCCATTTGATGGAAAGGTTGGTCCCCAGCCTCATTATGCTGATTGAAAGACATGACATTATCCAATGCCACACATGCCCTTATCTGTCCAATTACTTAATGTTAAGATCTCAGCGCACACTTGGGTGCATTCTTTGGATTCAGACACGTGCATTATAAAATGGATGCTCCCAAATGAAAAATTAGAAGATGTATTTGTAATTCATTTTAACCCATTTAATTTTGACTGTAGAAAAGAGATAACAAAAGTACCCTTTGAAATAATGTGTCATTGTAAGACATGCCCCCATGGCTAATAGCTCTGCAGGTTCAGTTGGTGAGTCCACATCCTAAAATGGTACATTCAGGTTTGTTTTAACAGCTTTCTTTATTAGCCAGATCAAGCCAGTCAAAGAAAGGAAAGAGAAAAAAGAATAAAACCAGGAACAACACTTTCATATTATGTATAAAGCCTTGATTTCATGCCTAATGAAGGTCTGTTGTTCTTTCATTTAGTATTCTTTCTCATTCTTTCTTTTTTCTTTCTCTTTTTCACACATATTTGATAAAAGAGAAGAATAGAACTAAGAAAATATTTTATAGCTGGTAAGGTACTATGTGATGTTAGTTGCTGTCATTAATACTTAAATAGATAAATCTTTAAAAGAAGCAAAGAGGATAGATTTTTAAGCCATCTGAAGACCTGAATTAAAGATGGCAGCTTCTCCACATGTAAGCAGTATAATCTGGGCAAGTTAATTAGTGTATTCGGGACACATTTGCCTTTCCTATTAAGAGAGGGGATAATGCCAATTCTCCATGATGCTGATCTGGGTATCCAATTAGATGAAGTATATGAAAATAACTTCTAAGTTCTAGATGTGTGTATTATTAAGCTGAGATCATTCATTCAGCAAACTTTTATATTTAACATATCGAATTAAAACTAGTTGTACATATTTATTTTTTACCACTATGAGAAAATCATATCCAGTACTGGAATCTGATTTTATTCATATTGTTATCTTTAGTGCTTCACACAACACAATGTCCATAGTTGGTACTCAAAAATATTTGTAGAAGATAAAAAGGAGAAACCAGGAGGGTAAGATGATGATTGGGGCTATTGGAAGTTAATTGAGGATGATGAAAAAAAAAGGAGTGATCAAGGCAACAATAGATTTGCATATTATAATTTAGAAGAATCTATTGCCAAATACATTGTGTTTTGATGATTGAAAACAAGTTTAACATATACATTCGATGCTATTGTCCATATACTGATGAAAGAAGAAAGCGGTCATTTTTTAACTTAATTTAAACAAATAGTCTGTAACTGGTTTGGATTCTTCATAAGAATTTTACTGTGGATAATTATAATTTTAATGTAAAGAATTCTTTTCTGCCCATCCAAACATTTTCCCCAACTGACTTATTCTTAGATTATCATTTCATTGTGCAACTAAAAACTCATTCTGCTTCACCTATTTAAATTTCTTGTTTGAAAACAAGGCCTATAACAATAAACAAACCTACAATTTCTATCTGATGAGACATAACTATCTGTGACCCTCTATCTTTTTAAGCTACAATGGGAACATCATTTTAACATGGTGGATTATATTAGGGGTGTTAGCAATCCACTCCTCTATCAGAGCAAGCGCTCAGAAGAGTTGCAAAGAACTATTCTCATTTTAATATTAAAATATTATATAGTTCATTTGATTTTTTTGATAGCTCTTCAGAATTATATACTTAAGTGCTTAAAGTATAATAAAAAAGAATGTATGTATAAATATAGAATTAATGCAGGTGTTAGACTTCAGTCCTTTTGGTTTTCCAAACTAGAGCACTATTTACATAACCATGTTGAATCTCTTACTAAAAAAATTGTATTAAATCACCATGAAATTCCAATGCAAGTTAAAGTAAAAAGTTACATTCATGATTAACTTTTCATCTGTAAAAATGACTGTATAAGTTAAAGTTATAATTAACAAGAATTAAAGTAGTCAATATGTTTTCAATCAAGAGCTTATCTTCATATACTTTATAATTTTTATAATTTAGGATTTGTCACAAGCCAATTTGTACATTCTTAAATAAAACATCAAAGCCCAAAGAGATACTTATATGCAAATTATTTAAGCATTCAGATCTGAAAGGAAAATTGGCAGCATTAATTTCTTTTCATGGGAAAGAATAGTCATGGCATTGGCTTGATTTTCTTTAAAAAAAATTTTTAGATCTATGACTGAAATACAGAAGCACTCTTATAAGCATCATAAGGGAATTACTATTAAATAGAAATTAAGACAAAAGGACAAGTTAAAGCAGCTCACTATTTTTAACCGTTCACAGTAAAATTATACATGTTATTAATAAATGATTAATAATTCAATAATTTTTCTGAATAGTTTAAATTCTTTTTAATGATTTATTGTGTAAAGAATGTCTAGTTTGTTTCCTGTTAAGTGCACTGGAGCCTAAACTTAAGCTTCCTTGTACTTAGGGTGATTTACTTCCCTGAAACAAATCATGCTTTGGCCAAGTCCCCATTTCTGCAGGGCTGAGTGCAAATAGAGCACCTAACTCCTCTATTCTCAGATTCATGTTAAATATGTAGGTTTTGTGTCAATTCCACCTGTGAAAAACTTTTTCTAATATGCTAAGGCTACAATTGAACATTCAAAGCTAAATGAGAGAAATTAAATCAATAATCCAAGTAAGATATAAAAACACTTTATTAAGAGAAGCAGTTACTGTTCTTCTGTGCTTTTTTTTTTTTTTTTTTTTTTTGAGACAGCATCTTGCTCTGTCGCCCAGGCTGGAGTGCAGTGGCAGGATCTCGGCTCACAGCAAGCTCTGCCTCCCAGGTTCACGCCATTCTCCTGCCTCAGCCTTCCAAGTAGCTGGGACTACAGGCGCTCACCACCACGCCCAGCTAGTTTTGTTTTTGTATTTTTAGTAGAGATGGGGTTTCACTGTGTTAGCCAGGGTGGTCTTGATCTCCTGACCTCGTGATCCGCCCGCCTCAGCCTCCCAAAGTGCTAGATTACAGATGTGAGCTACCATGTCCGGCCTATTCTGTGCTTTTGTTTATGTCCCATTTTCCATGGACTGAGCTCAGTGAATGATCTCTGAAGAGCAAATCAGTCTTGAAAATATATTACAAAGTGCTTAAAAGAAACATGATAAAATGGAAAGAGATATTCAATCTAATTTAAACATACTCCATTTTTAGGTCTGTTCCAAATAAAAAGGCTAATATTGCTTATAATGAAAAACATTTCAGTAAAATGCTTTAACAAATAATACTTGTCCTAAGGAAGGCAATATTTGATTCAACAAATTGCAGTATAATATTTTAGAGTTATTTTTGAAATTATTTGCCTGTGACTACTATACTTGTACTTAAACACCCTTATTGTTTGATTATAGGACAACTTACTTTTTGTTTTCCTATAGCATGAAAAGTTTTAACTTCAGAATATGAGTTATAGGGGTAAAAGAGTTCCTAGAAGTTATTTTAATACTCCAGCTCTTAATATATATTATATCTAAAGTGCTACAAATTATTTTTTAACCCTGTGTAGTCAGTTTCATTTTCTAACAGTCATGTAATCACAGTTGAATAGTAAAATAAAATCTCTCAAACTTCATATTATTAATAATTTCTCTATGGGGAAACAAAATAATCATATAGTTTTATTTTTTTTAATTTTAAGTTAAGAGGTACATGTGCAGGTTTATTATATAATGTAAACTTCTGTCATGGGGGTTAGTTGTACAGATTATTTTGTTAACTAGGTATTAAGCATAGTACCCATTAGTTGTTTTTCCTGATTCTCTCCCAACTTCCACCCTCTACTCTTCAATATGCCCCAGTATGTGTTGTTCCCTTTTATGTGTCCAGGTGTTCTCATCATTTAGCCTCCACTTATAAGTGAGAGCATGCAGTATTTGGTTTTCTGTTCTTGCACTAATTTGCTAAGGATAATGACTTCCTGCTCCATCCATGTCCCTGCAAAGTACATGGTCTTGTTCTTTTTTATGGCTGCATAGTATTCCATGGTGTATATGTACCACATTTTCTTTATGCAGTCTATCACTGATGGGCATTTAGGCTGATTCCATGTCATTGCTATTGTGAATAGTGCTGCAATGAATACTCATGCATGGGTCTTTAGAATAGAGCAATTTGTATTCTTTTGGGTATATACTCAGTAATTGGATTGCTAGGTCGAATAGTATTTATGTTTTCAGGTCTTTCAGGAACTGACACACTGTCTTCCACAATAGTGTATAAGTGTTCCCTTTTTCTCCACAACTTTGCCAGCATCTGTTATTTTTTGACTTTTTAATAATATCCATTCTGACTAATGTGAGATAGTATCTCATTATGGTTTTGATTTGCCTTTCTCTAATGATCATTATGTGGAGCTTTTTTCATATGATTGTTGGCCATATGTGTGTCTTCTTTTGAAAAGTGTCTATTCATGACCTTTGCCCACTTTTTAATGGGGTTGTTTTTTCTTGTAAATTTAAATTCTTTATAGCTGCTGGATATTAATTAGACTTTTGTCAGATGATTAGTTTGCAAAATTTTTTTCCCATTCTCTAGGTTGTCTGTTCACTCTGTTGTAGTTTCCTTTGCTGTGCAGAAGCTCTTTAGTTTAATTAGATCTAATTTGCCAATTTTTGCTATTGTTACAATTGCTTTTGGCATCTTCATCATGAAATCTTTGCCCATTCCTATCTTCTGAAATCTTTGCCCATTCCTATGTCCTGACTGGTATTGCCTAAGTTGTCCTCCAGGGTTTTTATAGTTTGAGATTTTACATTTATGTCTTCAATTCATCTTGAGTTCATTTTCATATATGGTGTAAGGAAGGGGTCCAATTTCAATCTTCTGCATATGGCTTGCCAGTTATCCCAACACCATTTATTGAATACGGTGTCCTATCCCCATTTCTTGTTTTTGTCAGCTTTTTCAAAAATCAGATAGCTGTAAGTGTGTGACCTTATTTCTGGGTTCTCTATTCTGTTTCATTGGTCTATGTGTCTGTTTTTATGTACCAGTACCATGTTTTTTTTGATTACCGTAGCCCTGTAGAATAAAGTTGGGCAGTGTGATGCCTCCAGCTTTGTCCTTTTTACTTAGGGTTTGCTTTGGCTATTTGGGCTTTTATTTTATTTTATTTTTTTGGTTCCATGTGAATTTTAAAAGAGTCTTTTCTAGTTCTGTGAAGAATCTCAATGGTAATTTAATAGGAATAGCATTGAATCTATAAATTGCTTTGGGCAGTATGGCCATTTTTATAGTATTGATGCTTTCTATCCACGAGCATGGAATGTTTTTCCATTTGTTTGTATCATCTCTGATTTGTTTGAGCAGTGGTTTGTAGTTCTCCTTGTAGAGATATTCATCTCCCTAGTTGTCTGCATTCCTAGGTATTTTATTCTTTTTGTGGAAATTATAAATTGGATTGCATTCCTCATTTGGTTCTTGGCATGACTGTTGTTGGTGTATAGGAATGCTAGAGATTTTCCCACATTGATTTTGTATCTTGAGACTTTGCTGAAGTTGTTTATCAGCTTAAGAAGCTTTTGGGCTGAGACTATAGGGTTTCTTTCTTTTTTTTTTTTTTTTTGAGATGGAGTCTTGCTCTGTTGCCCAGGCTGGAGTGCAGTGGTGCAATCTCCGCTCACTGCAACCTCTGCCTCCCGGTTTAACGCCATTCTCCTGCCTCGGCCTCCTGAGTAGCTGGGACCACAGGTGCCTACCACCACGCTCGGCTAATTCTTTGTATTTTTAGTAGAGATGGGGTTTCACCATGTTAGCCAGTGTGGTCTCGATCTCCTGACCTCGTGATCCGCCTGCCTCGGCCTCCCAAAGTGCTGGGATTACAGGCATGAGCTGCTGCACCTGGCTATGGGTTTTCTACATATAGGATCATGTCATCTGCAAACTGATATGGCTTGACATCCTCTCTTCCTATGTGTATGTCCTTTATTTCTCTTGCCTGATTGCCCTGGCTAGGACTTCCAATACTGTGTTGACCAGGAGAAGTGAGAGATGGTATCCTGGTCTTGTGCCAGTTTTCAAGGTGAATGATTCCAGCTTTTGCCCATTCAGTATGATGTTGGCTCCGGGTTTGTCACAGATAGCTGCTATTATTTTGAGGTATGTTCCTTCAATACCTAGTATATTGACAGTTTTTACATGACGGGGTGTTGAATTTTATCAAAAGCCTTTTCTGTATCTATTGATTTAATCATGTGGTTTTTGTCTTTAATTCTGTTTATGTGATGAATCACATTTACTGATTTGCATATGTTAAACAAGCCTTGCTTCCCAGAGATAAAGTCTACTTGATTGCCATGGATGAGCTTTTTGATGTGCTGCTGGATTTGGTTTGCCAGTTATTTTTTTTTGAGGATTTTTTCGTTGATGTTCATCAAGGATATTGGCCTGAAGGTTTCTTTTTTGTTGTATTTCTGCCTGGTTTTGGTATCAGGATGATGCTAGTCTCATAGAATGAGTTAAGGTGGAGTCCCTCCTCCTCAATTTTTCGGAATAGTTTCAGCAGGAATGGTACCAGCTCTTCTTTGTACATTTGGTAGAATTCAGCTGTGAATCTATCTGGTCCTGGGCTTTTTTTTTTTTGGTTAGTTGGCTATTTATTACTAACTCAATTTTAGAGCTCATTATTGGTCTGTTCAGGGATTCAATTTCTTCCTTGTTTAGTCTTGGGAGAGGGTATGTATCCAGGAATTTATCCACTTCTTCAAGATTTTCTAGTTTATGTGTATAGAGGTGTTCATAATATCCTCTGGTGGTTTCTTATATTTCCGTGGGGTAAGTGGTAATATCCCTCCTTGTCATTTCTGATTGTGTTTATTTGAATCCTCTCTCTTTTCTTCATTAGTCTAGTTAGCAGTCTATTTTATTTTTTTCCAAAGCACCAGCTCCTAGATTTGTTAATCTTTTGAATGAAATTTTGTGTCTCAAACTTCTTCAGTTGAGCTGTGACTTTGGTTACTTCTTGTCTTCTGCTAGCTTTAGGATTTGTTTGCTCTTTGTTCTCTAGTTTTTTTAGTTGTGATTTTAGGTTTTTAACTTGAGATCTTTCTAACTTTTTGATTGGGCATTTAGTGCTATGAATTTTCCTCTTAACACTGCATTAGCTGTGTCCCAGAGATTCTGGTATGTTGTATCTTTGTTTTCATTAATTTTAAATATCTTCTCGATTTCTGCTTTAATTTTATTATTTACCCAAATATCATTCAGGAGCAGTTATTCAATTTTCATGTGATTGTATGGTGTTGAGTGAATTTCATTCTTGATTTCTAATTTGATTTTGCTGTGGTCCAAGAGATTGTTTCTTATTATTTCATTTCTTTTGCATTTTCTGAGGAGTGTTTTATTTCCAATTATGTGCTCAATTCTTGAGCATGTGCCATGTGGCAATGAGAAGAATATATATTCTGTTATTTTGGGGTGGAGAGTTCTGTAGGTATCTATCAGGTCCATTTGATCCAATGCTGAGTTCAGGTCCTGATTATCTTTGTTAATTTTCCATCTTGATGATCTGTCTAATATTGTCAGTGAGGTGTTAAAGACTCATTATTATGTGGGAGTCTGAGTCTCTTTAAAGCTCTCTAAGAATTTGCTTTATGAATCTGGGTGCTCCTGTCTTAGGTGTATACATATTTATTATAGTTAGATTTTCTTGTTGAATTGAACCCTTTACCATTATGTAATTCCCTTGACTTTTTTTATCTTTATTGGTTAAAAGTCTGTTTTGTCAGAAACTAGGATTGCAAACCCTACTTTTTACTGTTTTCCATTTGCTTGGTGGATTTTTCTTCATCACTTTATTTTGAGGCTATGAGTGTCATTGCATGTGAGATGGATCTCTTGAAGACAACATACCAATGGGTCTTGGTTCTTTATCCAGCTTGCCACTTTGTGTGTTTTAATTGGGGCATTTAGTCATTTACATTTAAGGTAACTGTTGATATGTGTGGATTTTACACTGTCATTATGACGTTAGCTGGTTATTTTGCAGACTTGTTTATGTGGTTGCTTTATAGTGTCACTGGTCTGTGTAATTCAGTGTGTTTTTGTGGTGTCTGGTGCTGGTCTTTCCTTTCCATATCTAGTGATTCCTTCAGGAGCTCTGGTAAGGCAGGTCTGGTGGTAATAAATTCCTTCAGTGTTTGCTTATCTGAAAAGGATCTTATTTCTCCTTGGCTTATGAAGCTTAGTTTGGCTAGATATAGAATTCTGGTTTGGAATTTCTTTTCTGTAAGAATGTTGAATATTGGCCCCAAATCTCTTCTGGCTTGTAGGGCTTCTGCTGAAAGGTCCATTTTTAGTCTGATTGGCTTCCTTTGTAGTTGATCTGACCTTTCTCTCTAGCTGTCTTTAGCATTTTTTCTTTCATTTCAATCTTTAAAAATATGATGATTATGTGTCTTGGGGATGATCTTCTTGTGAAGTACCTTACTGTGGTTCTCTGCATTTTCTGAGTTTGAATATTGGCCTCACTAGTTAGGTTGGGGAAGTTCTCCTGGATGATATCCTGAAATATGGTTTCCAAGTTAGTTCCATTCTTCCCATCTTCTTTTCCAGGGACACCAATGAGTTGCAGATTCAGTCACATATTTTTTGAATTTTTTTCATTTCTTTTTATTCTTTTTTCTCTATTCCTGTCTGACTGTCTTATTTCAGAAAGCCAGTCTTCAAGCTCTGAGATTATTTCCTCTGCTTGGTCTATTCTGCTGTTGATACTTGTGATTGCATTATGAAATTCTTGTAGTGTGTCTTTTAGCTCTATCAGGTTGGTTACATTCTTTTCTAAACTGTCTATTTTTTCTGTCAGTTCCTTCATTGTTTTATAATTATTTTTAGCTTCCTTACCTTGGGTTACAGTATACTGCTCTAGCTCAGTAATCTTCATTCCTGTGGATAATCTGAATTCTATTTCTGTGAATCCAGCCATCTGAGCCCAGTTCAGAACCTTTGCTGGAGAGGTGATTCCATCATTTGGAGGAAACAAGGCACTCTGGCTTTTTCAATTTTAAGCCTTCTCAGAGGATTCTTTTTCATCTTTGTGGGCTTATCTACCTTTAAGCTTTGAAATTGACAACCTTTGATTTTTTTTCTCTTTTATCCTATTTGATGACCTTGAGGGTTTGATTGTGGTATAAGGTAGATTCAGTAGACTAGCTTCTGCAAGATTTTATGGGGCCAACATTCACCTCCCAATTCCTGGACTGCATGCTATAACTCTGGGGGACTCATATTAGGCCCTGACTTTGTCCTCTGGCTCCTCAAGGTTTGGAATCCACTGCACTGGAAGGGAGGGCTAAGGTGTAGCAGCTGTAGCAGAGTGCTAACAAGTGCTGGGGTATCTGCCTCCCTGCAGGTGTTCACCACAGTGGCAGAGGCAACACAGCTGGCAGGCAGGAGCAGAGGACCCCTGCTGGAGACTGTGTGTGGGCATGCTGGAGGTGGTATTAGCTCAGGGGCTGGGTACTGGTGGGAAAAGTCTGGATGTCTTCTCTGTGTCCCCTAAGCAGGTGTGATCCACCATATAGTTCTGCATATAGTTTTATTTGTTTCTGTGCAATTAATGTACATACTTCACCAAAGAATTTACATAGCTAATATCAGAAGTTTTCATGTAGGTATCTTTGAATCACAATTATTAGGAGCTACAATTCAGTAAAAGGATACCTTGCTTTCAGCACTCTAAGGAAGATGTGGCTATTCCAAAATGGGAGGGCATTTGGGGACTAATATTTCATCTCTTTGAAATGTTAACAGATTTGAGGATGGTATGTCAGACTGAGTCAAAGCATTTGCATGGGAAAAGGTATGTCCTCTATAGAAACATGGACTTCATCCAGATGGCTGGGTAGCTGGGTGGTGCCCAGATTGCAGGAACAAACAATGAATACTTTGTTCATCTGTACAAGGCCAGTTAGGTGCTAAGCATACAAATCCAATAAGGTACAGTGCTTACCTGAAGGAGTTTGAAGGAGAGAGAAAAACTTGGAGAGAATCAATGAAGAGGCCATTGGACTTGGCAGTTAAAAGCAGTTTTGTGTGGTTTTTTTTTTTTTTTTTTTTTTTTTTTTTTTTGAGACGGAGTCTCGCTCTGTCGCCCAGGCTGGAGTGCAGTGGCGGGATCTCGGCTCACTGCAAGCTCCGCCTCCCGGGTTCACGCCATTCTCCTGCCTCAGCCTCCCAAGTAGCTGGGACTACAGGCGCCCGCCACTACGCCCGGCTAATTTTTTTGTATTTTTAGTAGAGACGGGGTTTCACCGTTTTAGCCGGGATGGTCTTGATCTCCTGACCTTGTGATCCGCCCGCCTCGGCCTCCCAAAGTGCTGGGATTACAGGCGTGAGCCACCGCGCCCGGCCAGTTTTGTGTGTTTTTAAAGAGAAATTTCAGTTATTTAAAGAAATGGATATGAAGCAGCTATATCACCTGGGGTATATACCCTGGGGTTTGTCATCTTGCACCAGGAAAACTTAGGACATGGACTCACACGAGGAGTTTAGCAGCAGAGGTTTAATAGGCAGAAGAGAAGTGAAAGAGAAACAGTTCTCTCTCTATAGAGAGAGGGGTCCCTCAGTGGAAAAGACTGGCTGTCAGTGAATGTGCCAAATTTTATAGTCAGGTTTGAGGAGGCGGTGCCTGATTTACATAGGGCTCACAGATTGGTTTGATCAGGTATGACGTTCACACAATGCATGCGGAAGGTGGTTGTCCCACTCTAATGTTAGCATGCAAATGGGCTTTCCAGTTGACTGGTGCCATCTTCTCTGCTTCTCACTGTACACTTGGCCGACAAAGGGAAGAGAAGATGGACCATCTTGAACATGTATAGTCCTTACTTCCTGCCAGCATTCACCCATGCAAGCTCCCAGCTTGCTTGTTTATGTCTGCAGCTCAACTTTACAGGCTGCTCTTTGTTAGAAAATGATTTGTGGCTGCCTTTCAATAAAAAGCAAAGCCTTACCAAGGACTCTCATTCAGTTACTTTCTGCCTAAGTGATTTCTTAACTTCTATATCGTTCCCCCCTCTGGAGTGGTAACCCTAATTGCTGTTAGTGGTCATTTGAATGATGACTCTTTCTGGCAACTTCCTCCTATAAAGGGGCATTGTGTGGGGAACAGCAGCTATGGCTCCTCCTGGGGTCAATCTAAGGGTCCTTGGAAGAAAGGCATGTCCATGTATGGTTCTGTCTGCAGCACCATTTGGAGTTTGATTGTTTCTAAATGAGAAGAGATGAATGTTAGTTCGAATATGACTATTAAGATTGCCACTATTAGTGGAGGTACCATAGGCCACAATCATAACAGTAGGGTTTGTTACCTGTCAGTCATTTTGATGAAATGAAATACTGGTTTGCTTCTACCAAATGTTGCTGTACTTTATCAGAAGTGTTGATATAAAAGCAACATTTTTTTTTCTTTGAGAAAAACATATATACCCCCGTTGCTTTGCCATTAGGGGATAATTTCTGGTCTAGGTCATCTTTTTTAACTTGCAATATGATTGGGAGAAATATGTCATTGGGTGGCTAGTGTAATTTTAGTGTTAACCCTAGCTAAATCTTTCCTGCAATTAATTCCTTCACAGCTTCCACCAACTATCTATGACATGCTTAAACTTTCTGGCTTGTCCTAAACATCCTTCTTTTTAAACAACCAACTATTCTTTTTAGGACATGTATTTACCATCCTTCTAATCCTTTCATGACTTCCATGAACCATCTATGACATGCTTAAACCTTCTGACTTGTCCTAAACATCTCTCTTTTAAACAACTAGCTATTTTCTTTAGGACAAGTATTTCTCATACAAGATCCCTTCTTATATAAAATCTCTTTCCTTTATAACCTTCTTTGCACCAAACGGTAGCATGAGCATGGAGAACTAAAAAAGCATACTTGGAGTCAGTGTAAATGTTAGCTACCTTTACCTTGCTTAACTCAAGTGCTCTTGTAAGAGCTATCAGTTCAGCTGGTTGAGCACTTATGCCTGGAGTGAGAGACACACTTTCAATAACATTCAGAGTGACTACTGCATATCCTGCCTTCTGTACTCCTTGCTCTGTAAAGGAGCCTCTGTCCATGAAGAGGGCCCAATCTGGATTTTCTAGGGGAGTTTCCCTGAGATCTTCCCTGGCCGCATAGGTCTGTACCACAACTTGTTCACAGTCATATTCAGGTCCTCCAGTTCCCTTGGGGAGAAAGGTGACTGGGCTTAAGCAAAAACAAGTTTTTAACTGGATGGTGGAACCCTCTGATAGTAGGGCTTGATATTTAAGGAGCCTGCTGTCTGTTAACCAAAGGCTTTCCTTAGAGGACAGTAATCCCACCACATTATATGGGGTATAAATAGTCATGTCATTTCCCAGGATTAATTTGGAGGCTTCTGGGACCAGTAGAGCCACTGCAGCAATGGATCAGGGGCATGCTGGCAATCCTTTAACCATCAAATTAAGTTCCTTACTCAGGTAACCCACTGGCTGTTGAGCTGGTCCACAGACCTGTGTTAAAACTCCCAAGGTCATTTCCTTCCTTTCTGATACATACAGATTGAAGGCCCTTCCTATGGAAAGGCTGTGACTATGGCCTCAGTGAGATGGAAGTCCTGAAGTAGTCTTCATTCCCCATTGAGTTTTATGTGCTCCTAACATTGGGGTGTTGAATGGGCTGCTTCAGGTTTTGAAGAGGCCCTGCATCATCAGGTTATTAGTAATGGCTTCTAGCCCTTTCCTAGCCTCTGGCTTCAGTGGATATTGTTTCTGGTTAGGAAAAGAAGTGGGATCCTTAAGATGGATCTGGACTGGCCTAGCAGTTACAGCTCAACTCATTGTTCCTTCAGTTGCCCACACTTCTGGATTGATATTAGCTTCTACCAGGGGGTGACAGAGTTTGTCCTGGGGCTATAAGGATGCTGGTCTGCCTGCAAGTAAAATATCTCTACCTAATAAAGGAGTGGAACTTTTTGGCATGATTAAAAAAGCATGTGTCAATAATAGGTTTCCCCATCTGCAACCTAAGGGGTTGTGAAAAATATTGAATTAGACTTTTTCCTGAGATGCCCTGTGATGCCTGGTCATGCTACAGAAAGAGGGGAGGCCTGGATTAGAGAGGAGAAGAGAGAGAGAGACTGGCTCTAGTGTTCACAAGGAGATCTACCTTCCTTCAATTTCCAGAATCACCCAGGGCTCCTGTGCTGTATGTTGGTTTGAGCCACTGGAGCTCCGGGACCCATCAATCCTGTTGGACAATCTGTGAGACTGGTTTGGAACCCGGTGACCTTCATCTCTGGGGGCAGTCCGACTTCCAATGGTTCCTTCCACAGGCTAGACAAGGTTAAGGTGGTTTTTTCTTGCTGCCTGGGCACTCTTTCTTAAAGTGCCCTGACTTGCTGCACCTATAGAAACTAGCAGATGTACCTCAGGGATCCTGGGCTTTGTATGTTTGCAGAGCAGCTATTAGTGCCTCTGTCCTTCTCTTTTGCTTCCTCTCTTTCTCCTGGATCTCCTCCTCCTGGTCCCTATTATAAAACACCAAAGTGGTCACCCTTAGGAGGTTCTCCAAGATGCTATCTGGTGCTATAGCCTCCTTCTGTATTTTCCTTCTAATATTGGGAGGTGCCTTTTTAATAAACTTGTCCCTTAGGATGAGCTGTCCTCGACTGATTCAGGGGATAAAGGTATGTTTTATGAGTGCCTATCAGTCTTTCCATAAAGGCTGCAGGATTCTCATCTGGTTTTGTTCTATCTTGGAAAGTATAGAGTAATTAATAGATTTTGCCCTTGCTCTTCATAGGCCCTCCAATATGTGCATTAAATGGTGTTTCCTTTTCCATCCATCTGTGGCATCACCGGTGTTCCAACTAGGGTTTGTTTTTTTTTTTAGAGGAACTGCTTCCCTTCCTATCGGGAATGGTGTTTCCATTATTTCTTTGCCTTCCTTATCTCCTTTTTCCTTTTTAATCTACCACAGGAGACATGTTGTTCATCGCCAGAATTTTCTGCTGCCTGCAGAACTGCCTGCTTTTCCACTGTGGTTAGGATTTGGCTTAAGAGCAGCAAAACATCTCTCCGTGTGTGGTGAAACACTTGAGTTAAATTTTGGAAGGGTTCTATATACCTATCAGGATCATCAGAAAATTGGCCTAAATCTTCCTTTATTTGCCTAAGATTCTGTAATGAGATGGGAACTTGAGGTGACCCCAAATAACGGGGATTCTCAGATGGCTCCTCTGGAAGTTGCTTTTCTAGTCTTAGGGAATCATTCCCTTTGGGCCTGCCTGATATGATTGCTACACTTGCAAAGGTCTAGTAAGAAGGCCATGCCCTTGTGCAAAAGAAAATGAGCCATTTTTTCTTCAAAGTCTCAGGATCAAAGGAGTCCCTGTGCTTCAGAATGCACTCCAGAGGAGTACAGGCCTTAGATGATAAAGAGAAGGAAAAAAAGGCATCCCTTTAGTCTCCTTCCTTTTGATGTGACCCAGGGTGGGAGAAAGACAGTGGGGGTGTCCCCCTGTTGTTTTCTCTCCATGGTTCCTGGCATCCTGGCACCTTGTTAAATGTGCTGCCCATGGTTGCAGGTGTGGCTTCCCCAGCCATGGAACCAGAGGAACTAAGTGGTGGGTTTTAGTCACCCTCACCCATGCAACTCTAGTCCTCTGCCTAGACTTTGGGGCTCTCTGAAAAATGGATCTTGGGAAAGACTATGTAACAGTTGCATTTGGGCAATTGTTGCACTCGCCTCCTTAATGGAGGAAGCGTGCTGGTTTGAGCTCTATATCCTGCTATTATGGCCCATGCTAAAGTGTTTACCCTTAGAGAATCATTCCAGTTAACTTCTGACTTAAAATCCCCTTACTAATTAAGTACCATTCTAATTGGAGGCAGAATAGGTATCTTAAAAGAATGTAGGGACCAAATGGCCATTTTCCTGAAGGAAGGACAGTATTAAGACTAAAATTTGGTTTTGGAGGACATTTTACTCCTAATTGCTGAAGGCAGAGTTTTCCCATTCACAGAAACAGCATAAAGCCTGGTTTCTAGTAGAGAGGCGTAAAAAGGGGAGAGAATTGGGAAGCTAGAGTGCTTGGGTAAAGGAGAGGATTCCTATTCCACTAGGTGGTGCTGCTGACTTTGAGATGCCATGTGCTCTCCAGACCAAGGGCAGAGTGACCTTGACATGCCATGTGCTCTCCAGATCAAGGGCAGAGAGAGAGAGACCTGGAAATGCCATGTGCTCTCTAGAACAAGGGCAGGGAGAGATGCTCACTGGGGGTACCCTCTGTTTCTAGAACATCACAAAAACACCTTCCCTTGAGCTATATGCCCATTTACTATGACATTATCTGATCTTGCCAAACAGGATTCCTTCCCTGAACCATAAATCTTCCCACACATTGCATACACAGAGAGGATAAGAGTTATGACAGTTGCCAACAGGAAAGAAAGAAATTATGATAGGAAAGTTGGAGATCTTGTGGCCGATAGCCCATCAGTGGGGACAGAGGCTGGGGTCAGTCCAGTAGCCTTTGGATAACACCAGGGATAGCCCCAGCCAGAAATCCTCAGTTGCTCCAGGACTCCTTCCAGCCCCACATGACGGCTGAGTACTCCATGAAAGGAAGCTGGTTCAAACATGGCCAATATGCCAAGCAACCCATGGGTTCTCCATGTTCTCCCCAGTAAGCCTGTCCCCCAAGTCTTATATGGCTGGCAGCCACGCTAATTATTTTATGGCTGAAGGGGGTCCAGTATTTGGTTTGATTTGGTTCTTAAATGGAGGCCAATAGCCTCTGAATGAAAGGACAGAGTTGGAGTCTGCTCCTCTACTCATTGTTTCAATTAATGTTGTACGCTGGTATCATGGATGAGGTCCCCAGTATGAAATGGCTATGTTGTCTGGGGTATATACCCTGGGATTCATCATCTCACACCAGGAAAACTTAGGACATGGATACACACAAGGAGTTTAGGAGTGGAGATTTAATAGGCAGAAGAGAAGTGAAAGAGAAACAGCTCTCTTTCTGTAGAGGGAGAGGGGTCCCCGAGCAGAAAAGACTGGCTGGCGTTGAATGCGCTGGATTTTATAGTCAGGTTTGAGGAGGTGGTGTCTGATTTACATAGGGCTCACAGATTGGTTTGATCAGGTATGATGTTTACATAGTGCGTGGGGAAGGTTGGTCACTGTACCCTAATCTTATTATGCAAATAGGCTTTCCAGTTGATCAGTGACATCTTGTCTGCTTCTTACTGTACATGTGGCTGAGAAAGAAAAGGGAAGATGGAGCCGCCATCTTGAACATGTGTAGTCCATAGTTCCTGCCGGCATTCACCCGTTCAAGCTCCCAGCTTGCTTGTTTATGTCTGCAGCTCGACTTTACAGGCTGCTCTTTCTTAGAAAATGATTTGGGGCTGCTTTTCATTAAAAAGCAAAGCCTTACCAAGGACTCCCATACCCTTACTTTCTGCCTCAGTGATTTCTTCTTAACTCCTATATTGGATATATTGTGGGTTGTTAAAAAGTGATTATGGAGTGAAGTACAAAAAAAAAAATAGCCATATATCAGTTCTTCCATGCAGTACAGTGGCAGAAAAGGATGTGATGGCTTAGGGATTAAGAAGAAAGCAGTATGACAGAAAGATTTTTAAGATCAGAGACTACAAAGGGTCTTTCTAGCAGGGAAACTGATACTACAAGATGATATAAGAGAACGGGGGAGAGAGTACTTTGGAGTCACTGACGGCGCAGTTTCAGAAAAAATTGGGGAATTGAAAGTGAGAGCATAAGAGACGATATTAGATTTATAATATTTCTAGATATTTGGGGAAACATTATCCAATACAAATGCATGGTTTCTTAACATTTATTTGTAGAATGAAGCATGAAACTAACACAACATTAAGTTGTTAGAAGTTCATAGGCTTCAAAAGTAAAAGTGGCAAAATCTTTTTCCAACAGTCTATGTAATCTTTCAAAATCATACTAACTGAAAGGACAGGAAATGGGCACACTTCCTATGGCACCAAATCAATTTTTATCTTGGCAGAAAAACTGATTATTACAGCTACTGTGAGCCATTGTTATTATAATTGAGTGGATCATTTGTCCAGTATGTTTTTCCTAGTAAAAGAAAAACATTTGTGGTTTCTGTGGTGAATAAGAATTCTAACACCAGGAAAAAAATGCAGGCCCTCTTTTTGTTGTTGTTTTGCATATATTTGTTTGTTTGTTTCAGCACCAAATGTGGCTCCTTCAGATGTAGGAGGTGGAGGTGGAAGAAACAGAGAGCTGACCATAACATGGGCGGTAAGTATTGATGAGTTGCACATATTATAGGTTGCTGTATCTATATTTAACTTCCACCCCATTTTGTTTCCTGAAATAAATTGAGATGAAAGTGACTGCCTACTGCACAAGCAAGAATATATTACTATTTTTTTTTCTTAAATGCAAATCAGATTTTATCTGGCTTACTGTGGCTTAGTGTGTAGCTCCTATGCAAGAATGAATCCTGGATGCTAAGAGATCTGTTAGCCTAGATGATTAAACATTCAGCTGTCTGATTCCAGAGATACTTTGATCATTGTAGTCTGGTAATCTAATTGTAATTTTAAACATTGTCTCTGGACATTCTAAATTCCAAAGATTCCATTTACAAACTTTGTATCAAAACCCATTTTTAAATTGGAGACTGCCTCCTCACTTGAAGCTTACTTTGATCACTGGTGTAATCTAGCATGATAGGTCAGTCTTAGAAGTCACCCATGGGACTAGTTACTGAGGTATCCAAAGCATTTTATTACAGTTTCGTGAGTCAAAGAGTTCTGTATCAGAGACTACAATCTCTAGAAAACAATACATCTTGGCTGGATTTTTGAAATAGGAAAGATATTGGGAGGGGTGGGAAAAGTTGTCTGACAAAACTGTCTGACTTAGACATCTGGCATTTATCCAGATAACATGGTTTATACAGATTCATTTATTCATTAAATACACTTAGTGTTGAATCACTGCAGATAGTCAAAGAGCACAATTTAGGCTCCAAAGGATTTTGAAGACTGTGGAAAAAATGACAGGTTTTATTCTTTGCATTGGTCAAATGGATTTATTTAATAAATGAATGTTTAGCAAAACTTGACTCACTGTGTGCTTTGTAGTCATTTTCTATACTTAGCATTTAAATCACATTTTAAAGCAAGATTTAGCAAAAAAAAACTAATCTGAATCGTAAAATATTTATTTCTAAGTTTAACTGCCAATGAAATGTCCAAAAATGCAAATATTATAAAAATTAGAACATTTCGCTCTTTCTCTTATGGCTTTTTATAAATTCTGTGGATATCTGCTACAGAATAAGATGGGCCTTATAAAAAATTCAGTATTGGAAATTCTCCTCCAAAGATTCAAATTCAGGTTTCTGGAGATAGAGCCCGAGAGTTGTTATTTTTGAAATTTTCATAGCTGATTCTGTTATACTCTAAATTCCAAAAACTAAGTAGAGAACTATCAATAAGAAAAATGTTTAAACTATTGTAGAAATGTTAGGCTATACTATCTAATAATCTAAAATCACATACCTATTAATATATTGTGCAACCACATACAGCTTCTACCATTTGACCTTTCCACATTTCTATATCTTCCTATTTAATATAAGTATGTCCAAGCAATAGTGTTATATTTACTTCAAGGTTTTGCCTCAAGACATCTTAAATTTGATTTTCTGGTAAAAAAAAAAAAAAGTAAATATACAATGTGCACATTTACCTAAATTGCCAAAAAAGGCTAACTGACAAGTACTCACTAGAAGTAGCTGTAAGTCAGTTTTTATTAATAATAGGTGATTAGGGCTGACATAGACTTCTTTATAAGGCAATTTACATGAGTGACAAGAAACCTTGAGAAAATGATGAAAAACCAAGCACTTGCTTTAGAATTGGAGATAGAAACCCAAAGCCATCCTCCTACAAATGAGTGCAATATTGTCCCTTCCTCCTTGTCACCTACTTTTATTCCTCTTACCAGTTTCTTTTCGATCACAAGGTAGATATTCTAGGCTAGAGTCTTATATAACTCTCTTACCATTGCCTTTCAATTCTAATGAAATTCATTTGCTCATCCCTTTAATACATATTACTTGAAGCCCTGTTCTAGGTGCTAGGGATAAAGAGGAAAACAAAACTGACAAAAACGCTGCATTCATAAAACGTGTATTCTAGTAGTTGAGAGAGACAATAAAGTAGATAAATAAGTAAACTGTATAGACTTTGTTAGGGTTAAAGAAAAACAATAGGTAGGGTGCGGGACATGGAGCATTGTGTTGGAGTCTTGCAGTGGCAGAACCTGTGGTCGGAGAAAACGTCGAGGTGATTTTACCTCGGGAAAGTGAGGGGGTGGGAGGAGTCACATAACATCTAGGAGAACATTCTAGGCAGAAGAAACTGAAAGGAAAAAGGCCCGGAGTGAGAGGCCCCTGAGGTGTTCTAGGAGTAGTGAGGCTACAATTTGGTAAATAAGATCATCCCATGTTTAAGTATGTTTTTCCTCTGACATTTGGAACCAGCACTAATGTATGAACTGTGTATGTTTTTACAAAGAGCACGCCTCCGTGTGTGTCATTATCCCCATAGCATTTCCTCCCTGTTACCTGTATTACTAAAACCTACTCAATCTTTTAATTTCTATTTAGCCTTTGTCAAGAGAATACCACTATGGCAACAATTTTGGTTACATAGTGGCATTTAAGCCATTTGATGGAGAAGAATGGAAAAAAGTCACAGTTACTAATCCTGATACTGGCCGATATGTCCATAAAGATGAAACCATGAGCCCTTCCACTGCATTTCAAGTTAAAGTCAAGGCCTTCAACAACAAAGGAGATGGACCTTACAGCCTAGTAGCAGTCATTAATTCAGCACAAGACGGTAGGTGAAAGAAAGACCTTCTTACCTGAGGAGGGAGGAAAAACGTATTTCTCTAGCAGGCATTTAGTTTGTTTCCTTTCAGGCCTTACTTATTAAGACCTTTTTATAGCATTATGCATTTAGTAAATGAGTACTATTTTGAACCAAATTAAACATCACCCTCTTCATCTAAATGATGAGAATGTTGCTAGAGTCTTTTTCATCATTTAGATCATGCCCATGGTATGAGGAAATCCCCATTAAAATAATTGGCTCTGACTTCCATTTTTGGGCTCTTGATTATAATTTTGTAGTCAGAAACTCTCCATACTTGAACAGAATCTCAACATGTCTGTATATTCATAAAGTTTATAATTTAAAACTTCTATAATATGGCCGGGCGTGGTGGCGCATGCCTGTAATCCCAGCACTTTGGGAGGCGGAGGCAGGCAGATCTGTCTGGAGGACAGAGCAAGACTCCGTCTCAAAAAAAAAAAAAAAAAAATTTCTGTAATGTATATATTATATATATTATTTGTAAAATGGCCCCAAATTCTAACCTAAAAATGTGTTTAATTGCAGCATTTACGTAACTTTTTATTACAATACAGAACACAAATTTTGTTAAAGGGAATCTAGACATAATTATATGAAAAAGAGGTCAGTTGAAATTGTTTTCTTGAAAAGGGAAAAATTTGTCCTGTAGGGCATTTAGGAAAAAAACAATGCTAATACCAGCTCTTTTTGTTTTTCTAGAAACTTTAACTTAACTAACCATGGTCATAGAAGACTTTATATATTTATACAAATGATACACAGTTTTAGATTGAGCATAATTACATTATTTTCTCTGATTTCTGTTTAAGCTGCTATACTTTTGTTATTTATATTCTTGTTAAAAATAATACCTTTCTGGCCTGGCATGGTGGCTCACGCCTGTAATCCCAGCACTTAGGGAGGCTGAGGCAGGTGGATCACCTGAGGTTGGGAGTTCGAGACCAGTGTGACCAACATGGAGAAACCCTGTCTCTACTAAAACTACAAAATGAGCCAGGATTGGTGGCACATGCCTGTAATGCCAGCTACTTGGGAGGCTGAGGCAGGAGAATCGCCTGGACCCGGGAGGTGAAGTTGCCGTGAGCCGAGATCAGGCCATTGCACTCCAGCCTGGGCAACAAAAGCGAAAGTCCATCTCAAAAAAAAAAAATAATA
Organism: Homo sapiens; assembly: GCF_000001405.40. NCBI lineage: Eukaryota > Metazoa > Chordata > Mammalia > Primates > Hominidae > Homo > Homo sapiens. The sequence continues at coordinate 41,018,108 of NC_000012.12, forward strand.
ATAATAATAATAGCTTTCTTTATTCATGTGCACTGTGTAAATAATTAATGACTAGAAAAACAAATAGAGATGTCATTGCCTTCTGATCTTTGGCAATGTACATTTACCCTTGGCCAAGTTTCTCTTTGCACATGTGTGAGAAGCACAAATAGAAGAGCTTGAAAACTAAAGGTGTGTGAGGTACTCTTCTATCATTAGAGGAAATGGGCTCTATTGGTTCACCCAACTTCCATTGTTTTCACTCCAAGATAGACATTTAGCCATGCCTTATACCTCAACAGAAATTCTCACGTATATTCATCGGTCACAGAATTATTAGTTTTAGTATTTGTTAAAAATGTAATATATAATTAAATCATCCTATGATCTTTACTTTTATTAAACACCATTGTATTCTATATATGTATGTCATAATACCATGTCATATGTCTTAAATATACATAACAAAATTTAATATAAAAGGCAGTTATTCATATATGTTAAAGTATATATGTGTGTATATATAAGTATATATGTATATATTTAAAGTTATATATATACTTTTTACTATATTTTTTACTGCATACAAAAGTATGTGTATTTTAATATATGTGTGTGTGTGTGTGTATGTGTATGTGTGTATTTTTTTACTTTTAAGTTAGCACAACCAAATATGTCAAAAGAATAAAATGTAGAAATAATTTGTTTATTATCAAACAGTGGAAAAGTCCTGATGACAAACTTATATTCTCTATGCTTGTGCTCATTCAGCAGAAATATGATAACTTGGCTGAGCGTGGTGGCTCATGCCTATAATCCCAGCACTTTGGGAGGTCGAGGTGGGCGGATCACCTGAAGTCAGGAGTTCGAGACTAGCCTGACCAACATGGAGAAACCCTATCTCTACTAAAAATACAAAATTAGCCAGGTGTTGTGGCACAAGCCTGTAATCTCAGCTACTCAGGAGGCTGAGGCAGGAGAATCACTTGAACCTGGGAGGTGGAGGTTGTGGTGAACCGAGATCGCGCCATTGCACTCCAGCCTGGGCAACAAGAGCGAAACTCCATCTCAAAAACAAAACAAAACAACAATGAAATATGATAACTTCACTCAGTTTTAATAATTTGAAGAACGAGTACATCTTACAGATAAAATGAGTGTCTTAAGCATTTTACAAGTTACCTTCTCACCTTTTTACTGCTTTACTTGATGCTAAAATAAGTTTTCAGGCAAATAGCTTGTCATCTATTTAGTCATGGCTATTTGTATTTAATTATATTTCTTTCCTAAATATTTCATGAGTCTCATAAAACTTGCATGTGTTGAAACTTGTATAAGTGTTAATCTCTTCTTCCACTGCTGAGAAATCAATCATAGTGCTACACATTTGCCTTGTTTTAGAAAGTCAACAGTGTTCATGTGTAGAACATTTTTAAACATTAAATAGGATTATGGCATTTTAATGAAAGACAATAAAAATTGATCACCCCTGCTTAAAGCCTTCATTGGTTTCTTTGTGTAAATTTCATAAGGGATGTCAGTTACTTTTTTTCTGTGAACAGAGACCTTTTTGATACATATTTGACTTGATGCCCAGTTGGAAGATTAGACATATAAAAGCTTTCTTGAGCCCAGGAAACAGTGGATGTTACAACTTGTTTCAAAGGCTCTTAAAAATTTTTTTTTAAAGATCTTAGCTTGAACATAAAAAGGGAAGTTTTATTAATAATATTGCTGTTTGTAGTTAGTTCACACAAATAGCAAATAAGAGAAAATGTATTATATTGAACAATTTTCTATAATTCCAAATTTCCTATTTCTGATAATATAGAGTTGACAGCTAAATATTAATAATTTTAATTTGCATCAACAGGCTTTCTTAAGCATATCAGTTGAGAGAAATTAAAAAAATAGTTTTTTTTTGCTCACAGATGTAATAGAAATTGATGAAGCTTTCTGTATTTGGTAAAAGTGTGTGTGGGAATGTGTATGTGTATATGTCTATATTAACATTTATGTAAATGAATGTGTGTGTGCACATGTATCACTAATGCCATAAAATAAAGTAACATTAGAAAAATACAGGAAGAGGTAATGAAATAATTGCACTTAGTTTGAAAATAGTAAAGCTATTTTAGAAACATTAAAATTAAAGTATGGTCCAACATCATTCATATAGCAAATGATGCTATTCGAATTTCTTAAATGTAAATATCTCACTAATAATATAATGTTCTCATAAAATTTCAGCTCCCAGTGAAGCCCCAACAGAAGTAGGTGTAAAAGTCTTATCATCTTCTGAGATATCTGTTCATTGGGAACATGTTTTAGAAAAAATAGTGGAAAGCTATCAGGTACGTTAAATTTTTATCAAACTAAATACATTTATTCATAAATATATAAGCATACGTTTTCAAATGTGTTGTATGTTTCAATGTCCCATTAATTTATGTGGCAACTAATACTTTATTCTCTGTGTCTAGTATTGTGGTCATATATAAGTTAATTGTTAAGAATAAAACAGGGGTTCCTAACTGGCCTATCTAGGGGAGATGTAAAGAAACCTAAGTCCTGGCAAACAATTGGCCAAAATAAAAACTATGGTAATAACACTTATGATTACCCAAGGTCTTTTTAGGAAAACATTCTCATAAAAAGCTAGTGAATCTCAAGTTTTTTGGAAAGCATTTTGGTAATTTATAGAAGCATCCTGAAAATAGTCATCCTCTTTGAGTCAGTAGTTCCATTTCGAAAAGTCCCTCCAAAGTAAACAATTTTAAATATACCGAATATGTCTTATGTTATCTATGAAGTAACAATCAAAATGACCCAAATAAAACTTCCCTTGAGCTTAATTTTAAAGAACCAGTAAGAATCAGTCAGACGCAAATGAGAAAACTTGTCTTAGTCAAGGGAGTAAAAACTGGAAAATCAAAACTAGAGAGATTAGTTAGGGTCTTTAATACAATGCTAATGCAATTTAGACTGAGTTATGTAGGAAATGTGAAATCATCATCTCACATTTTTAAGTGCAAGAAGTGAAAATTCAAAGGAATTAACATGGTTTTTCCTTTACAGATGAGCAAATGGATACCAAAGAGATTTGACAACTTGCCTGAGTTGTCACTTACAGAAAGTGTCAGAGCAGTGTCTAAAACTCAAGTTGTCTGATTCAAAGTTCGGGGTTTTATTGCCACACATCACAGACTTCCCTGTTTTTTTTTTCAGTGAGTGCTGTCTAGGGCTGCCTCTCCACCCACCCCACTCCCCCAGCCAGCTTGCATTCTCAGCTTCAGCACCCTCCCTTATCCCTTGTCCATGGAATATTAGCCCCATGAGGGCAGGGTATTGTTCTATTCTCAGTGCCATGCAAGACCAGTGCTGAGCACCTGGCAGGCTCTAAATAGATATTAATTGAATACTGATAGGAATAATGAAGTATGATTAAATAAAATGTTACAATTGGGCTTTCTCAAGGCCATGTTTCTGAGATGTAGCTGTAAAAGAAACTCAAGGCTTTGAGCAGACACACCCAGACCAACAGGAAGCTTTTTTTTTTTTTTTTTGACACAATAGGTTATAATTTGGGAAGATCTTAAAGAGCCCTCAGATCATCTATGCAAGGGTTCAGCTGAATTTATTACAGTACACAGAAGAGTAGACTGGGAATAATTAGACTGAGAATACCCAATATTCATAACTTACTAACCTGACAATTGTGTTTGCGGCTAGTAGGAAAGAGAGAAATTCACTAGATGTTACAAACCCCTGTAATAAATACGCCTGAGGTATCTTTGGGAGAAGACATCAATGTGTAGAGCTTGGAAAGTAAAATTTTGGAGCACAGGATTTTTTTCTTCTTTTATATTATTTATTTCTAACTAATAAATATTGAAAAAAGGATAATTTAACATATAACCCATATCATTGAGTCAAAATGCCAAATATATGACATATTTTACTTTATTTAAAACATGCTAGAAAATTATATATTATCTTTGTTAATGCCAAGAATTATATATTGACGATTTGCTTACTTTTAACAAGAAGAAGACAAAAGAAATAAGAGGTAGGAAGCAACATAGTGGAACCAATGATTCAGATGATAATTAAATTAAATATGCTTTTTTAATTGGGAACTAAACCTTGATTAAGGATTTTCACATAGTCAGTAAAAAGTAATCTTTATCAAAGAAGATTTTTTTCAAATGATAATTTCAAGGGAAAAGTATGTACCATGAGGAGTTGGTTTCACAGATGTCTGACCTTTTCCAACTTACATTAAGTAAAAACTTATGCACTTTGCTGCTGAGCAAACATGGGTTTATATTTCAGCTCTGTCACTTAAGAATTTTGTAGAAAATTGATTTGAACTTTGAGTTTCCTCACCTATAAAGTGAGAAAGTAACCACTGCCTCATAGAACTGTTATGTGAAAGATATTAAATAACCTGTATTTAAGAATTTTCCCTGTTTATGTCATTGGGCATTCCAAGATGGTGGTGATGATGATGATGCTGATGGCAGTGAGGAAGATGATGATGATGTTAATGATGAAAAGACTGATAACACGTCTTGAGTTCTTATTGTGCTAAACACTTAACTAAGCTCATTTTATTAAATCCACACAACCCTAGAGGATAGACACTATTATTATCCCTATTTTAGAGATGAAGAACTTGAGGATTAGAAATGTTTGTCTGAGTAATAATTGTCATAATCAGATTTTAATCTAGTTCTTGCCTCTCCAGAGAACGGTTGATTAAAATTGCTGGAAGTAAATCATAGAATTATTCTTCCCATTCATTCTTTCTTAAAATCCTTTTAAACCTTTTACACAGGGTCTTGGATATCAAAGAGACAAGCACGAACACTTAAAAGAGAAAAATCCATATTATTTATTGTTCTGCAGGAAATGCTCCTGTGACTGTGGCCGGTAGGGGGGAGGGGGGTCTTGACTGACTATAATGTGGTTATTGTTTCCATTTTAAAATATGATGGGAGAAGCCAATGGTTTAACAAGATAGATGATGGTGAAAACCAATACCCCAATGCACTTCCCATGAAAATGTACGATGGATCTCTATTTTTCTGTGTATAAAGATACACAGAAAGAAAGCAGCACATTGAAAACATAAAATATAAAGCTGGAAAGCCCTGACTCCTGCCTGATTGACACCATCTCAAGGTTCATTTCCTGACATTTCAAATGAGAATTGTGAGCAATTGAATTTAAAGACAATCTCTTCCCTTGTGGTTTTAAAGTGTATCTCAGTAGAATGTTTATGTCACTTAGTATTTTTTTATCTTACTTGGTTAAAGAGCTCCCCACTTTCAATCTTAATACCCAGGGAGTTTTTCTATAGTGTAGGTAAGCTAGAAGAATACAAGAAGTCTTTCTTATCAAGGGCATTTTGGAACTTTGGGCTCTTGCCCAGGAATCCACAAAAGACTTAGTTTGCTCACACAGTGGGTAAAATATTCACTTAATTAATTTAACAAAAATGAGTAAAATAGGCTACCAGGAATAATGAATGCAAAAACTTTAGCACCTAAATTAGAGATTAATGCAGATGACTGATTTCAGTCATCATAAAAGATGAACAATCCTGTATAGTCTACTCAAATATTTTTAAAGTTTAAATTATTATGGTGAGCCGAAACTGATTACTTAGAAAGTGCTTTATTTTCTTATTTTGGAGAAGACATCCGTTTTGGTCTGAATCTCTTTGAAACAGAGCCTCAAACAAAGATGTGGAGAAAGGTTGTTTATTATTGTTGTTAATTGTTTGTTTTCAATATGATCCTAGGAAGCAGGTATGAGGAAAAGGCAGAGTGAACAGGAAAGAGGGGAGCTCAGATACAAACGTGCTATTTGTCTTGTTGGCAACCACTGTGGGCAACTGGTACTCCATCCCTTGAGACCTTTGAGGAGTTTTATAAATGTGCCTCTGAAGCTGCCCTGCTTGGGATGAAAAGGGAAGCATTCATCCACTTCTGAATGTCCAGAAATGTGCTCATTCAACACATAAACCTCACTTTTGTGAAGTGAATTTGAGCCATCCTGTTGCACTTCATAATAGTTTCTTACATGTTTATGTAAATAAAAAATGCAGGATTATATTATTATTAGACATTTTAATCTAGGCATTTTGGTTAATTGTGAAATTACAATCCCGTTATTTTATAGACAGGGCATCTAAAATATGTAAAATATCAGGATAGTTACAAATAATCCTTTTCTTTTTATTCTTATATTACATATAACATATTTTTATTCATTTTATTCATACCTTAGATATAATTATAAATCTTGAATGCAAAAAAGCCTTTATTTAAAGATGAAAATTATAATCCATAACTTTTCTTAAACTTTAAGAGAAAAGTAATCCTGTAATTATTTGACAAAAGTAATCATTTCTAATGAAAAAATCGATAACTTTTTTAAAAATTATTTTATGGGTAAATAATTTCTACAGTTTATCCAGTTATTAGATATATTTCTTTGATATCTAGCTTCTATATGGGTTCAAAGGAAATAACATTAGATACTTCTGAAAGGAGGCAGAAGAAAGTATTACTTTAGCGTATTCTAGGCCACATAGTAACTATTTTTATCCAGCAAAATTATATTCCTCTCCAACTGCTTTAAGAATGGCTCAGAAGAAGTTTGAAATCATGCAAACAGAAGTAAAACAGGAAATAAATGATAAAAATTATAGTGACAAATACTTCCAAATGGAGACCACTTTTATATTTTGAAAGTAAGTCTGCTTCAAAGTTTTTGGGATTTTTAAATTTTTTATTTTTTATTTTTTTTAGTCAATGTAAAACAATTTTGGGCAATGAAGTAAGACTTTGATTCGCTTTTGGCATCTTTAGTCATTCCTGCCCTGTATGCTTTACTATATTCTAAGGCTGATAAAAGGGTAGATATCATTAAGAAACATTTGAAAATATGATGATCAGCCAACACCAATGGTAATAGAACCAGTTGAAGAGAACTTTTCATAGCTGAAGACTCTAAATCATGGCAAAATATAACTCATCCTGAATGTTTGCAGATTCGGTATTGGGCTGCCCATGACAAAGAAGAAGCTGCAAACAGAGTTCAAGTCACCAGCCAAGAGTACTCGGCCAGGCTCGAGAACCTTCTGCCAGACACCCAGTATTTTATAGAAGTCGGGGCCTGCAATAGTGCAGGGTGTGGACCTCCAAGTGACATGATTGAGGCTTTCACCAAGAAAGCACGTGAGTCTCACGTTTTGTTTTTAGACTTGTCAAAAACTACCACTGGATTCAATCATGATACGAATATATTTGAAGGAAATTTCCTACCTAGCTACCTGAGCACATTTTTCAATATCCTTTACAGCCACACAAGATTTCCCTTAAAACGTGAATTATTGTAGATGATGAAAAAATGTGAAAAATACCCTCACACGTTAAATATTCCATTATAGAAATAAAGTTAGAGAACTATCCTTTTGTAAAGGCTGTCCTCTCAAATTCTGTGCCATTAACTTGTCTTTACCCTGTACTTATTAATTTAAACATTGTTTTCATAGGAGTACATCAACAGCATGTGAAAACTAAAATTCTGCTTATTTTTACATGCTTTAATTTATAAACCTCTGTCATTGCACAGTGCAATGCAAGTTAAGTGTGTAGCATTATGCTTACTCTCTTATTACTGTATGTTCTAGTACTGTATGTTTTAGGTGGTTCATAAAACAAGACCGCCTATCCCTGCTCACGTTCTGGTCATTCTAATCTCTCTGGGTTCATTTTGATATCTCTGTTCTTGAACCCAAGTGGAATAAGTAAAAAGGAGAATTTTTATGTAGGACTCTAGGGAATGTCTCAAGAATCTGAAGATGTGATTACCATTAGAGTGTGAAAATTTATGAAATTCACTTTGGGACAGAGACTCTCCCAGTGAGATGACAGAATGTAGTGACAAGAACTAGAATTTGGTGTCTAACATGTGTTTGAGATCTGTCTCTGCCACTTGCTAGATGTATGACAATAGATAAATTACCTATTTAAACCTCAGTTTTCTAATTTGTAAAAGGAGCATTCATTTTTGTTCTTTTTCCATTTGTTCATGTATTTATTCATTCATCAAAAATATGCTGTGTGCTCAGCACTATTCTTGATGGTGAGGATACAAAAGGGATCAAACCAGTCCAAGGTGCTATTCTCGCATGGTTTACAAGCTAATGAAATGAGATAGAAACTTCAAACAAACACAAACTCTGACAAATAAATAAGTGGGATTAAAGCAGCTGACAGGGCAATAAAATGAATAAATAGACAAAAGTAAAGTGACTTAGATAAAAGTGAAATTCTGATTGGGTGGCCAGGAAAGGCCTCTGAGAAGATGCCAGTTAAGCTATGATTTGAGTGATAAATGATAAGAAGAACCCACTATGTGAATAGCTTTAGGCAGAGCCTTAAGGTTCTTTGCACTCTAAGTAGTACAAAACCTTAAGGTGAAGAGCACTTAAAATATTTTAGGTGTGGAAAGGCCACTGGGTCCAGGGCATAGGTTCTGAGTAAGGAGGGGGAAGTGTTCTGGGGCCCAATTACGGAGAACCTTGTAAGTAATTGTGATGAGTTTGAGTTCTTTCTAAACATGATAAGAAGCCATTGAAAGATTTTAAAACAGAGAGTGATATCTAATTTATGATGTTGTTTTTAAAAAAGTCATTCTGGCATCTGTACAGAAAATGGATTGTGGTGGGTTAACAGTGGAAGCAGAAAAGCCAGTTAGGAGACTATTTCAGCAGTCAAGGAGAGAATTGATAGTGGCTAGCACTAAGTGAAAATGGAGACAGAAGTGGAAAGTTTTCTGTAGGCAGAGTTGACAACTTGCTGCCAATTTGGATGTTGGCAATGAGTGGGATGAGAGACTAAATACCAAATTTCTGCTTGAGAAACTAGGGGGTTGGTTGTGCCATTTGCTGACGATGGCAAAGAGTCATTGGAGAAAGATTTGAGGATACTCGACATTATATTACATTTGAAAAATGTATTACATTTGATTATATTACATTTGAGAAATCTTTTAGAGACTCAAGTAGAAATAGGCTGATATCTGCCTAGACAGAGAGACCTATAGCCACATATGTCTAGAGGTTGAAAGAGAGATTAGGGCTAGAGACAGAACTGTGAATATTTAAAGCCATGGGCCTAAGTGTCAGTACTTAGGGAAGATCCACAGAGAGAGTAGAAAAGGTACATAGATGAAGTCCTAAATCATCCAACAGTTACAAGTTGACAGAGGGAGCCAGCTAAGCATGAATAATGGGAAGCAGCAGCCCATGAGGTAGAAGGAAAACCCAGTTGTTAAGATCTGAATTTAAGAAAAAATGAGAGATTCAAGAAAGAAGATGGTCAATTCTGTGAAATGCTCCAAAAATGTTAAATTTAAAAAAGAATAATCAAGTGACATTAGATTTAACCAAGTGGAGGTGATTGATGACCTTGCAAATAGCAATTTCAAAAGACTAGTGGAGAAAGAAACCCAAGTGGAGCATGATGAGAAGAGAATAAAAGTCATATTACCTAGCTCACAGGGCCATGGGGTACATTAAATGGACTCATGGATGTAAAGTGCTTAGCATAGTGCCTGGCATATAGTAAACACTTATTAAAACTAGATGGTGGTGGTCATTATCATCAGCATTATAATACCTGATGCAATAGAGTATGCAGAATTGAGATTGGATATAGTGACCACTGATTGCATATTACTACTTTTCACAGCTCCTAGCCAGCCTCCAAGGATCATCAGTTCAGTAAGGTCTGGTTCACGCTATATAATCACCTGGGATCATGTCGTTGCACTATCAAATGAATCTACAGTGACGGGATATAAGGTATATACAAATAGTGATGATTAATGTTTGCAATTCTTGCTATTTCAGTGAAACCCAAGATGGGTTTCTTTTCTTTTTTTGAGATGGAATTTTGCTCTGTCACCCAGACCGGAGTGCAGTGGTACAATCTTGGCTCATTGCAGCCTCCACTTCCTGGGTTCAAGTGATTCTCCTGCCTCAGCCTCCCAAGTAGCTGGGATTACAGGTGCCCACACCCACACCCGGCTAATTTTTGTATTTTTAGTAGAGACAGGGTTTCACCGTCTTGGCCAGGGTGGTCTCGAACTCCTGACCCCAAATTATCCACCTACCTCAACTTCCCAAAGTGCTGGGATTACAGGCATGAGCCACCACGGCTGGCCCCATTCAACTTTCTTATTCTATTTAATAGTTGTAGAGCAGAATCAGATAACGTAGTGCCATGATACATTTTGAAATGGAAAACATTATCTTCAGTGAATTTCAGCAAAATGTTATGTCAAAAGTGTAAGATAAGTAGAATACTTTAAAGATAAAATAGAATAATCAGAGCTTAAGGAGGAGAGAGAACGAAACTATTTTTGTTTGGCAATGATTATGATAGGGTTGCCCAGCACCCAGAAAACTCCTTGATAAACTGAGTTACTGTTTATAAATGAATAAAAAGGAGAAAAGCTTATTTTAAATATATTCTTTATATCACACACTATCACATTTTTCACTGGATACCAAATTTTATGGAAAATGGTAAAAATAAAAATTGAGAGACAATTTTCAGACCATTTCAATATATTTTAAAAGTTCTCATTTTGGACTTTTTTCTTAAAAAGACTCATTCTTTCTATATTTTTATTTTGGGTCATCTCAAAAAATAAAATTCAGATGCTTAAGTCACATCTCCTTGGATAATCCTACAAACTTGCAAAAATCAACTATTGTGAATTGAAACTAACATGATTTTTTTCATCTAGTTTTAAATTTAGTTTTTCCTCTTGTTTTAAATTTATTACTTTTTGTTAATCAAAGTATAAGCATTTTTATTCTGGTTTTAGTGTTAGAGCATTGGCTCATTATTATGACTTTACTGCATATTTACATTTCTGTACTTTATAAGGTACTCTACAGACCTGATGGCCAGCATGATGGCAAGCTGTATTCAACTCACAAACACTCCATAGAAGTCCCAATCCCCAGAGATGGAGAATACGTTGTGGAGGTTCGCGCGCACAGTGATGGAGGAGATGGAGTGGTGTCTCAAGTCAAAATTTCAGGTAAGTGAGTCATTTAAGACACATTTCAACTAAGTACTTGTGAGTTTCTAGACCCTGTGGATTCCCAAGGGTAGGGATAAGCCTGATACACCAGTGTCCATATTTTCCTAAGTAGATTGGACATATCAAGGATTCCCTGAAACTTGGTATTTCTCCTCTTATGAGTCACAAAAGTAAGTCTGTGACATACCACATACTTCTTGATTATTATCTGGATGTCAAAGCACAGTTGAAATCTTTCAGACATAAGACGAACGAGTTTTTGGGATCCAATATACAGTATGGAACATATTAGTTTATTTGATTGTGGTAATCATTATACAATGTATACATATATCAAATCTTCATGTTGTTCACCTTGAATATATTTAATCTTTGTCAGTTAAATATTTTCAAATAAAAAGCACAATTAAAATGGCATAATTTATTGAATACTATATAATACTAGGCTATTATTTAATAATAACCAAACTTCTATCAAAAGGAAATACACTAGGCTATTTTTAATACTCTTATAACTCTTTCACTTGGACTATAGATATTGATATAGTAGTAAAAGAGAAAAACACTAAATTATAGCCCCTTTGTCTTTTCTCTTTCTCTATCTTATCTATTCCTTTTCTACAAACTCTATTTCTCACACCTTTGTTTGATTTGGAAATACATATATTTGAGGCAGTCATTTCTTTTTTTTTATTTCTGGCAATCTGTTATTTAATTTTTGACATATTTTTCTTAACCTATATGCATGATATAGTTTAATTATACTGAATTTCAATAGATGTTAATTTGAGAAATGTATGAGAGGCTTTGACATTACCAGAAGATCCTAGAACAAAGATGATAATAAATAATTTATAAGAAAATTTGGTTAATCTGTACAACAAACCCCATGACACAAGTTTACCTGTATAACAAATCTGCACATATACCCCTGAACTTAAAATAAAAGTTAAATTTTAAGAAAACTAAAAAAAAAGAAAATTGAAAATTTGGTGATTTTGATATAAAGAAATAAATATGCTATATATTAAACCAACAAAAAATCCTTTACCACAATGCCAGAGTATTTAATGGTATTTAATAAATGCTGGCTTCAATTGTATGCCATGTTTTTGTGAAGTTTGCCACAATACATATATACATCCTTTACAAATCAAAATAGAACTTTGATTTTTTTTAGTTTAATCATCAGCAATTTTGTCTTTTAAGAAAATAGAGAAATTACAGAGATGTGAAAGGAAAAGAAAATAATCATGTTCCAAATACCCTAAAATAGCTACTGTTAATGCTTAGTTGAATTTACTTATAGTCACTCTGTATACATATATAATTTCATGTTTCAGCTTCCATTTTTGTAAATTATTTAAAAATTATAAATGATATTCTTTCAAACAAATATGCAAACTCATTAAAGTTTTTTTCTATCATAAATAATACTTTTAGAGTCCATTTTCATAAATTAATCTTTCTTCTGGTTAAATTTAAGACAAAGTGTTTTAGGTTGCTAAATTTCTTCAAAAACACTTACTAATTTCTATTCCTATTATCATTGAGTATAAGTGCTTTTCTCACTGTACCACTCTAATATTATTGTCTTTTTAGTCATTGCTAATTTGACAGGGGAAAATAGAATTTTCTTATTTTTGAAACATTTTCTATATTCAGAACTTTGTCAACATCTTCAATAGTTTTACACTTAGTGGGCAGTTTCACAAAAGGAAATCAGAGGGAAATATGGCCATTATTTCAAGGAAGGTAAAGCACAAATAACTAAATAAATTGCTCTTGAACCCTGGGCCTTCTTTCTCTTGTGTAGAAGCCAGCCACAGCGAGCTTTTGCTCTCTGTACTCACCCTTGGTTCATCATTCCTCACCGAAAGGAGAACCTAGCTTCTGGGATTTAGACTAGAGGTTTTCAGCAAGAGATGATGTAGCAGTGATGGTAACATCAGTTTACCTATCACTAATGGCACTGGTAAATGTTAAACAGTAGAATCACTAGGGATAGGGGAAAGCCCTGTTTATAATGTTTGCCTGTTTCTGTGGTGTAAATATTCTCATTATGTGTGATTTCAAGCTTTCCAAGTGATGTCACTTAATATGGAGCTGTGAAGAGCTACCCAGTAGCACATCATTATATGTAATTGCCACCATACAGGTATAATAAGAACCTAAAAAACATTTGACAACATTATAATATAGTAAAATATTAAGAAATGATGGGTTTTGAGTATTTACTACATTTGTTTTAAGCTTTTAAATTTAAGTTTACATAAATTCTATTTTAATAATTACATTTTTAACACATTGCTCATACATTTCCTAAAAATTTAACAATTGGATTTCAGGGGTTGTATCGGTTGATTTCAGCATACCACAGCTGTAATTTGATATTTCAGTATATATAGCTCATGTATAGAAGAGTATTTTTTTAATCCCAAACTTAGGATATTTTTCATATTTTTCTCTTTTTGCCAACTAATGGACAACATTCTTATTGATTTTAGAATTTCTATTATTTATCTCTTATTCTGACCATAACTGTACAAATAAACTGTAGAATTAACGTTATGAAATGTCAGATGCTTGGTGAATAACACCATTCTAGAATATTCTTGTTTTTAAGTTTGGATTTTCAAATCATTTAAATTATTTTAATGAGGCAAATGTGTAAATACAAACAGAAATTACAGGTTTTTTTCTAAATTTAAAAGACTCTTAGTACTTTCTTTTGGTTTTCATGCCCTAAATACGTAGCCAGGATTATAACACACTACTAGATCTTAATGTTTATAAGCATTATGCTGTTTGTTCATTCATTCATTCAACAAATAGACATTAAATGCCTACAATACAGCAATCACAGTTCACATATTTAAAATGTGCTAAGATTTACATATTTCCACATCTCTGCCTGGCCCTGCTGCAATTCTAATGATCCTCTTGCCTCCCAGTGTTGGCCTCTCAAGGCCTATTATCTATGCAATAGACAGGGGGGTTTTTTAAAACACAAATCAAATCATATAACTCTCCTGTTAGAAAGATGGCTCACAGGGAATGGTGTGAACCCTGGAGGTGGTGCTTGCAGTGAGCCGAAATCGCGCCACTGCACTCCAGCCTGGGCGACAGAGCGAGACTCCGTCTCAAAAAAAAAAAAAAAAGAAAAAGAAAAAAAAGAAAGAAAGATGGCTCACAGGTAACATCTACATTTCTTACTGTGGCCTATAGTGGTCTATATAATCCACCCTCTCTCTCATCTCAATTAAGTGCTTTGTCCCTTTCTCTGTTGACATTTCTCTTCTTGAACACACCAGTGTTATCCCTGCCTTGAGGCATCTCTACTTGTTCTCCCTTCTGCCTGGAATTCTCTGGATCTTGGCATGTTAGTTTCATTCTCATCATTCTTGTTTCTGTTCTGATGTCACTTCCTCAGAAAAGCTCTATATATGGCCAGCAATTAAGGTAGCAGGCTACTCTGAGTAAATCTTCCTTATATCATAGCACTGTTTACTTTTCATCCTAATGTTAGTAACCATGTAAAATTATCTTATTTATTAATTTGTATTTGTTTATCATGTCTCTCCATCCTTACTTGAAGCTAAGCTCCATGGGAGCAAGCTCTTGTTTGCCTCAGTTGACCTTTGAATCTCCAGCACTTAGGGGACTATCTGGCATGTAGCAGGGTTTTAAAAAATAACTGTTGAATTAATTCATGATTTCTGTATAGAGAAAAGCCCACTAACAAGAATAACTTGGGCAACTTAAAACTATAGTTTTCATCTCTAGAAAACTGATATACTTCCCCATTAGGTTCATGATTTATATTATTTCATGTGCTGATCCGCAAATTTGATTCTTAAAAAAATAAGACTTCCTTTTAGACATATTTTGGAAATATTTCAGATTTGATTATCTGTAACTGCACTTCTATCTGACTTGAACACTGTTATCCATTGCTTTAATAACTTATTCCTTATTGAATATTTGTAGTGCATATCAAGGCAAATGTAACACCACAAATGTTTCATCACACATATACTATCTCTAATAATTCTATATTATCCTTCAAAAACCGTTTTTAATAATTATGAGCAAATTAAGAAAATATACATATAGCTATAATTTTCAATATTAATTTCCATAAGCTAATTTGGATTACTACATATTTTCTATAAATTTTAGAATATCAATTGACAAGGATCCTTGGTCATAAATAAATATCCTCAGAGAAGCACATATTTAATTATTTGTAGTGAGCATGCATATTTTAAGTCTTTACTTTTCTTTTTAGTTTTAAATAGACTATAGATAGCTGAATCAAGAAAGACTGCAGAACATTTTAGAGTCTGAACATTTTTCTACGGAAAAGAAGTAGTCATTTGAAATTTTTAAGGTAGGAGTAACATGATCAGATTTTCTCACTTGGAAAATCATATTGGTGATTGTCGAAAATATGTATAGGAGGGGACTAAGATATAAGGAGATGAAGTACCAGGTTATTGCCATAGAATGATTAAAAGATAATGATGTCCTGGGCCGGGTGCAGTGGCTCACGCCTGTAATCCCAGCACTTTGGGAGGCCGAGGCAAGCGGATCGCGAGGTCAGGAGATTGAGAGCATCATGGCTAACATGGTGATACCCCGTCTCTACTAAAAATACAAAAAAAAAAAAAAAAAATTAGCCGGGCGTGGTGGCGGGCACCTGTAGTCCCACCTACTCGGGAGGCTGAGGCAGGAGAATGGTGTGAATCCAAGAGGCGGAGCTTGCAGTGAGCTGAGATTGAGCCACTGCACTCCAGCCTGGGCGACAGAGTGAGACTCCACCTCAAAAAAATAAAAATAAAAAAATAATGATGTCATGATGTCCTGAACTGGAAAGAAGGCAGTGGTGGATGTCTAGGGTAGATTCTAAAAGAGCAAGGCATTTTTTCCATTTGATTTAAAGTTACTATATATTCATTTTGTGTATTTTGTCTTCTAATAAATCTGTAATTTATCCTGATATTACCACTGATGATGTAATCTGTATATTTAACCTAATATTTTTGTTAACTCCAAGATATTAAGTTAAACTGTATAACCAAACCCACTGACTTAAACACTGTGATGGAAAACACATTTTGTTGTTTTGCTTTGTCCTCTCCTGCCAGTAGCAGAAGAAGGTCTAGAAAACTATTTTTTGGGTAGAACTTTTATATGTTTAACTCCATCACTACTCCTGTCCTCCCTTCTCCATTTCCTAAGTATTGCAGTGTAAGAGGGACAAGAGGATAGTAGGATGTTTAGATTCATTTCATATGTTATTACATTTAGTCTGTGATTAAGATACAATCAGATATTATCATTCAGGAAATGCTGTCTCTTCAACCATCTTGAAATAACCAAATATTTTGTTTTCCTTTACCCCATTTTTCATGGGATCAATTTGAGTATTCAAGTATATAAATCTAGCCTATATATTTTAGATTGACAAATAGCTTACATTTAAATTACCTCTAAAATGCATATTCTCTTCATTACCATTGAATCATGACTAATCACTCAAAGCCTTGCCTAACCACATAAATGTACTTAGCACTCCCAGTTTTGTAACAAACATGAAGTTGGAAGATAAATTATTTGGACAAAGTAATATTGTGTGAGTCTCTAAATTCAACTTTGGGAGGCAACTCATAGCCTTGATGATTATTAACATAACTCCTGCAGTGACTAGGTTTGATCCAGCAGTTGTTGGACAACTCCCAGCACAGGGAGTTTCCAGAGCCTTAATTGTCCTTCAGAAGCTTTGAGTACAACTTCTAGAAGCACATTTTAATATTTTAACTATATGTCAGGCCGTGAACAGCACCTCTGTATCTAAACTAACCTAGGTTTTTTCAAATTTTCCCTAAGGTTTCCATTAGCTGCTACCAAGTTCTCACAACAACTTCAATATTTTATTTTGCTCATTTAGTTAGACTCAGAAATAATTTTGCTGAAACATTCCTTGATGGAACACATGTAAGAATGGAAAGGAAATTTTAAAATAATCCTCCAAGATGTACTTTCTACCAGAATAATTTTCATTAATGAAATAAAGTCTTAGCCTCCAGAGTTATATTTTAGTATTATAATGTGCCAATGATTTTTTTCTACGATAAAATAAAACTTACTCTTCAAACATTACAGATTTTCAAAAACATTTTGTTCTCTAGTAAATTAATTCATTCAATAAGTGTCTAAACACCAACCATATGTCAGGCATTCTGCTGGGCTATTGGTTACAATAATTGCAAACCCTCCTGAAGCTCCCATTCTAATGGATATCAGAAGAATAAAGAACCAACAAACAAATAATAAAACAATTAGATTTAATAAAAACACAAGGAAAAATGAGTGGCTCTTTATATTTTTCTTTATATTTAAAGAGAAAAACAGGTACACAAGTTTTTGGTAGGATGATTAGGTCAAGCCTCACTAAGAAGGTGATGTAGGCTGAAATCTAAAGGACAGGAACTAGCCATATGACAAAAGTGTGGGTAAAGGAAGAGCTTGTCATGTCAAGGACCTGAAAGGAGGCTGGTGTAACTAGTGTGTAGTGAGGATACAGAGTCATATGGGATGAGGTTGGAGAGGTAAGAGGGGTAAAGTTATGAACAGCCTGGCATTGATTACATCTAAAAGGCAATACTCAGATGTTTGTAATTTCTTGTAAGTTCAATAGAAAAATGTTGATGTGCTTTCAGGAGATGAAGGACATGATCTAATTTAAGATCATTTGCTGCTTTTGTGCAGAAAATAGATTGGAGTGAGACAAGAGGGGAGGGAGTTGATAGAGCTAGTGAAAAGAAAGCAAGTCTGAGACACAATCAGAACAAGGCACTCTCTTTCAGAAATAATTAATTTATAGGCTACTGTAGGTTTTTTTATGACTCTAAGAAGCAAAGCAAATCATGACAAGATCTTTTCCAGGATAAATGGTTAAAGAGTGTATGTGAAGACTCCAGCTTCTTCTTTTCTATGACTTCCCAATTCTTCCCCTTCTGCCTTTTGGTGGCAGGAGAGTCTGGAGGGAATGTAGTGTCCACATTTTTACCCCAGGGAGATGCAGGAGGGCATTGAGAGCAAGAAGAATGATGCTGAGATTCTGAGAGAAAATGCTTCATACCTTCTAAAAAAATAAAGAGTTTTTTATGGTAATCATCAAGACTAACTTAGAGAACCAAGCCAAATGTGGACTTTTTAGGAAACATGAAATGAAATGAAAGAAGGACAATAAATTAGCTCTTAGCTTCTAAATCAGTTTCATGGTATATAAATTGATATTTTTAGTAGCACCATTAAAATTATAGAACAAAAGCTCCAGATGTTGAAGTGATATGATGATGATATTTACAAGCAAGATTTACCCAAGATTCAGAAAATAGTGATTAATATAACCTAATCACCAAGGCCCACAGATAATAGTGTAGCCATTATATTTAGTTACTTCCCATATTTTCATTTTCAGTATTATGATAACCTCATAATGGATATCTTTGTATATAGACCTTTTTTCTGGATTCCCAATTATTTTCTTAGAATGATTGCTAGAAGTGCAATGACTGGATTAAAGGGAATGACTTTTTAAAGGCTTGGCATATACTTGCCAAACTGTCATCTAAACAGCAATGCCTGCATTTTATCATTAAACAAATTTTTGTAGCATTTTGTCCTTTTAAAAATCTTTGTTAAGCAAAAATACTATTTCACTATTTTTTGTTACTATTAATGTAAATATACAGATGTATTTGACAGCTGTTTATAGTTCCATTTCTGTAAAATTCTGTTCATGCCCTTTCTATGTTTCATGTTAAGAACTTTCTTTAAAATGTTATAATCAATGTATAAAGGAAGATTATAAAACTTTTCCTGCCATATTTGTGTAAATATTTTTCCAGGTTTGTTTTTAAATGTTATTAATGATGGATTGGTATGGTTTATTTTTATGCAAAATGATGAATTCTGATTATAAAAGTTCCCAAATATTTAACGTTGAACATAAACAGAAAGTCACAAAATAATACATATAAGGTCATGCATCACATAACAAAGTTTCCATCAATGATGTACCACATATAAGATGGTGGTCCCATAAGATTATAATTCTACACTTTTGCTGTACCTTTTCTATATTTATGTATGTATATATATATACAAATACTTGCCATTGTATTACAATTGGCTACAGTATTCAGCACAGTAATATGCTTATGCTGTGGAGGTCTGTATCCTGAGAGCAATAGGTTATAAATACACTATGCCTTCTAGGTATAGTCATATGTTCGCACAATGAGGAAGTTGCCTAATGACATTTCTGTGAAGACATTCCTGTCATTAAGCAACGCATAACTATAAGCCCATTTATATGAAGTTTAAAATTAGAAAATACATTGATGTTTAAAGGGGTTTGTGTGTTTAATACACACACACACACACACACACACACACACACACACACATATTTATATATAACATGTGAAACTTCCTCAAAAAATTCAGTCCAGTGTTGCCTCTGTGGAGTGATGGGGGAATTATCAGGAAGAGGCTTCTGGGGTAGTGCCTGTGTTCTATTTATTTGCCTGGCTGGTGAGTACAAAGGCATTGATGGTATTGTTTTTAAATTATGTTTTTAGGCCAGACATGGTGGCTCATGCCTATAGTCCCAGCACTTTGGGAGGCCAAGGTGGGTGGATAACTTGAGGCCAGAAGTTTGAGACAAGCCTGACCAAAGTGGTGAAACCCCATCTCTACTAAAAATATGAAAATTAGCCGGGCATGGTGGCACACACCTGTAATCCCAGCTACTCAGGAGGCTGATGCAGGAGAATTGCTTGAACCCAGGAGACTGAAGTTGCAGTGAGCCAAGATGGCCACCACATGCTAGCCTGGGCAACAGAGTGAGAGTCCATCTCAAAAATAAATGAATAAATAAATAAATAAAGTTTTAAAAATTACTAATTTACATAATTTATTTTAAAGTGGCAAAAGTCAAAAGAAGGTTGAAGTAGTTGAGTAAAGGATAGTTAGTTTGGCACTTTGGAGGTCTATGTATTAGTTTTCTAGAGCTGTCATGACAGTACACAGACTGGGTGGCTTTGTTCATTTTCTCAATTTTGGGGGCTAGATCAAGATGTTGGCAGGGTTGGTGTCTTCTAAGGTCCCTCTCCTTGGCTTGTAGATGGCCGTGTCTTCCCATGGCCTTCCCTCAGTGTGTGTGTGTGCAAGCATGTGTGTTGTACTTTCTTCTTCTTATAAGGACTGATTTGTATTGCTTTAGACCCACTCTAATGACTTTATTGAAAGACCCTATCCCAAATGCAGTCACTTTCTGAGGTACTAGGGGGTTAGAACTTCGATATATGAACTTGAGAGGGACAAAATTCTGCCCAAACAGAGGTCATTGGTAGGTTCAAGAGAGCAACTTTCACAAAATAGTGTGGGTGAAAGTCTTATTTCTCTAAGCAAACCTCATAGAACTCACATTTTAAAGCGAGGAGGCAAAATAAATAATATATAGCAATACATAAAGTTTTGTCAGATAGTGATAGTATCTGAAGGTAGCTGAGGAAGGTAAAGAGAGGTGGGAGAGAGCAAGGGCATCTGTTTTCACTAAGAGTGCAGGGAGGGGCTTATTCTGATAAGGAAATGCTTGAAAAAAAATGGAATAAAGTGAGAGAAAAGTTGAAGAAGTTATCTGGAGAGAAGGAAATGTATTCCCACCAGAACAGTACGAAAGCCCTGAACTGGCTGTATGTTTAGATGTTCAAGGAACAGCAAGGAGACCAGTACGGCTGGGGCCAAGCAAGCCATGAGGTGAATCTGAATCATAGAGTTTTATAGGTCCTGATTAAGGACTTTAGATTTTATCCTAAAGGTGATGAGAAGCCATTGAACCAGTTTAAGGTGGGAAGTGACATGATCAGATTTATATTTTACAATAGAGCATCTCAACCACTCTTTGGAAGGGAAGTAGAAATCTCATGAATGGTGGTGCAAATCTCTGTGAATCTCTGGAAACAGGGGGATCAGTTAGGTGATAGTCCAAGCAAGAGATGAAGATAGCTTTGACTAGTGTACTAAGAGTAGAAGTGGGAGGCAGTTATATTAAGGATTTATATGGAGGAAGACCCAACAGTATTTTCTGATGATTTTATGAGGTATGTGAAATGGATATGGCAGAACTTTAAGGATTTAGACAGACCAGCACAATCATCTCCTGAAACAACTAGCAGAATTATATATTAAAACAGAATCATCTACTGAAAATACATGAAGAAAAGAAGGAGTACTTCAAATTTTGACAAGCTGAGTTCAATATGCTAGTTCAATATGCCTATGAGACATCCCAGTGGAGAGAGAGAAAAAGAGAATCATCTAGCAAAACTGAGAAAGCAGCTGAGGTCAGATGACATAAACTTGTCAGAGAACCAACTGGCATAATTATATAACTTTATTTGCAATGCATACCAGCCTGGATGGAGATGGAGGAAACAGAGATAGCAGATGTTTCTTGGTGTTGCCCAAAGTTGGCAAATGGCATGGTTAATATAAGTGGAGATCAAGGAAAACAAGGATTTATTACTTCTAGTTAAAGAATAATTAAAATTGCTGAACAGAGTCAGTATTATATATTATGAATATTAGAATATTTTCAGCTGTTAGTAACAAACTCTCAACTCAACTCTCAACTCAAAATTGCTTAAGAAAGCCCCTGTGGAATCAGTGTCTCAAAAATATAACTAAAGAACAATTTTTCCCCATTTCTCCACTTGAGAGGCCTCAGCTTCATTCTAAGGCTTGTTCCCTCTGTGGTTGAAAGATTCTGCAGATGTGTTAGGAATCACACAGACCCTATAATGTCCAAGAAAGAAGAGGGTCTGTCTCTTTTGAAGCTTCATCTTCAAAGGAAGCCCAGCTTTTAACAGAAGCTCCTCAGAAAAACCTTCCCCATAATGTTCAGAAGTGTGTCAAAAGTCTTTCCTTAAACTAGTTAAATATCATTTCTATAATTGCTCAAAGCGATCAAGATTCATGGCTGGTCTGTGATTGAGAAAACCTTCCTTGATGAGTGAATAATATCTGAACAAAATATGAAGAGTATTAGCAAAGAAGCAGAGAGAGAAAGATTTTTTGCATGATGTTCAAAGTTAAATAGTGAGGTAAATAAACACAGACATAGGATATACATTTAGAGAAATTAGAGACGAGGAAATTAGGTCAAAGAGCAGCTTCATAAAAATGCAGAGAAAGTTACTTTGGGCAGTATGGCCATTTTCACGATATTGATTCTTCCTACCCATGAGCATGGAATGTTCTTCCATTTCTTTGTATCCTCTTTTATTTCATTGAGCAGTGGTTTGTAGTTCTCCTTGAAGAGGTCCTTCACGTCCCTTGTAAGTTGGATTCCTAGGTATTCTATTCTCTTTGAAGCAATTGTGAATGGGAGTTCACTCATGATTTGGCTCTCTGTTTGTCTGTGATTGGTGTATAAGAATGCTTGTGATTTTTGTACATTGATTTTGTATCCTGAGACTTTGCTGAAGTTGCTTATCAGCTTAAGGAGATTTTGGGCTGAGACAATGGGGTTTTCTAGATATACAATCATGTCATCTGCAAACAGGGACAATTTGACTTCCTCTTTTCCTAATTGACTACCCTTTATTTCCTTCTCCTGCCTAATTGCCCTGGCCAGAACTTCCAACACTATGTTGAATAGGAGTGGTGAGAGAGGGCATCCCTGTCTTGTGCCAGTTTTCAAAGGGAATGCTTCCAGTTTTTGCCCATTCAGTATGATATTGGCTGTGGGTTTGTCATAGATAGCTCTTATTATTTTGAGATACGTCCCATCAATACCTAATTTATTGAGAGTTTTTAGCATGAAGGGTTGTTGAATTTTGTCAAAGGCCTTTTTTGCATCTATTGAGATAATCATGTGGTTTTTGTCTTTGGTTCTGTTTATATGCTGGATTACATTTACTGATTTGCATATATTGAACCAGCCTTGCATCCCAGGGATGAAGCCCACTTGATCATGGTGGATAAGCTTTTTGATGTGCTGCTGGATTTGACTTGCCAGTATTTTATTGAGGATTTTTGCATCAATGTTCATCAAGGATATTGGTCTAAAATTTTCTTTTTTGGTTGTGTCTCTGCCCGGCTTTGGTATCAGGATGATGCCGGCCTCATAAAATGAGTTAGGGAGGATTCCCTCTTTTTCTATTGATTGGAATAGTTTCAGAAGGAATGGTATCAGTTTCTCCTTGTACCTCTGGTAGAATTTGGCTGTGAATCCATCTGGTCCTGGACTCTTTTTGGTTGGTAAACTATTGATTATTGCCACAATTTCAGAGCCTGTTATTGGTCTATTCAGAGAGTCAACTTCGTCCTGGTTTAGTCTTGGGAGGGTGTATGTGTCAAGGAATTTATCCATTTCTTCTAGATTTTCTAGTTTATTTGCGTAGAGGTGTTTGTGGTATTCTCCAATGGTAGTTTGTATTTCTGTGGGATCAGTGGTGATATCCTCTTTATCATTTTTTATTGCGTCTGTTTGATTCTTCTCTCTTTTCTTCTTTATTTGTCTTGCTAGCGGTCTATCAATTTTGTTGATCCTTTCAAAAAACTAGCTCCTGGGGGCTTTAATTTTTTGAAGGGTTTTTTCTGTCTCTATTTCCTTCAGTTCTGCTCTGATTTTAGTTATTTCTTGCCTTCTGCTAGCTTTTGAATATGTTTGCTCTTGCTTTTCTAGTTCTTTTAATTGTGATGTTAGGGTGTCAGTTTTGGATCTTTCCTGCTTTCTCTTATGGGCATTTAGTATTATAAATTTCCCCCTACACACTGCTTTGAATGTGTCCCAGAGATTCTGGTATGTTGTGTCTTTGTTCTCGTTGGTTTCAAAGAACATCTTTATTTCTGCCTTCATTTCGTTATGTACCCAGTAGTCATTCAGGAGCAGGTTGTTCAGTTTCCATGTAGTTGAGCAGTTTTGAGTGGGTTTCTTAATCCTGAGTTCTAGTTTGATTGCACTGTGGTCTGAGAGACAGTTTGTTATAATTTCTGTTCTTTTACATTTGCTGAGGAGTGCTTTACTTCCAACTGTGTGGTCAATTTTGGAATAGGTGTGGTGTGGTGCTGAAAAAAAATGTATATTCTGTTGATTTGGGGTGGAGAGTTCTGTAGATGTCTATTAGGTCCGCTTGGTGCAGAGCTGAGGTCAATTCCTGGGTATCCTTGTTGACTTTCTGTCTCGTTGATCTGTCTAATGTTGACAGTGGGGTGTTAAAGTCTCCCATTATTATTGTGTGGGAGTCTAAGTCTCTTTGTAGGTCACTCAGGACTTGCTTTATGAATCTGGGTGCCATCCCCCTCAAGCTACCAATGACTTTCTTCACAGAATTGGAAAAAACTACTTTAAAGTTCATATGGAACCAAAAAAGAGCCTGCATTGCCAAGTCAATCCTAAGCCAAAAGAACTAAGCTGGAGGCATCACACTACCTGACTTCAAACTATACTACAAGTCTACAGTAACCAAAACAGCATGGTACTGGTACCAAAACAGAGATATAGATCAATGGAACAGAACAGAGCCCTCAGAAATAATGCCGCATATCTACAACTATCTGATCTTTGACAAACCTGGGAAAAACAAGCAATGGGGAAAGGATTCCCTATTTAATAAATGGTGCTGGGAAAACTGGCTAGCCATATGTAGAAAGCTGAAACTGGATCCCTTCTTTACACCTTATACAAAAATTAATTCAAGATGGATTAAAGACTTACATGTTAGACCTAAAACCATAAAAACCCTAGAAGAAAACCTAGGCATTACCATTCAAGACATAGGCATGGGCAAGGACTTCATGTCTAAAACACCAAAAGCAATGGCAACAAAAGCCAAAATTGACAAATGGGATCTAATTAAACTAAAGAGCTCCTGCACAGCAAAAGAAACTACCATCAGAGTGAACAGGCAACCTACAAAATGGGAGAAAATTTTTGCCACCTACTCATCTGACAAAGGGCTAATATCCAGAATCTACAATGAACTCAAACAAATTTACAAGAAAAAAACAAACAACCCCATCAAAAAGTGGGCAAAGGACATGAACAGACACTTCTCAAAAGAAGACATTTATGCAGCCAAAAAACATGAAAAAATGCTCATCATCACTGGCCATCAGAGAAATGCAAATGAAAACCACAATGAGATACCATCTTACACCAGTTAGAATGGTGATCATTAAAAAGTCAGGAAACAACAGGTGCTGGAGAGGATATGGAGAAATAGGAACACTTTTACACTGTTGGTGGGACTGTAAACTAGTTCAACCATTGTGGAAGTCCGTGTGGCAATTCCTCAGGGGTCTAGAACTAGAAATACCATTTGACCCAGCCATCCCATTACTGGGTATATACCCAAAGGACTTTAAATCATGCTGCTATAAAGACACATGCACACGTATGTTTATAGAGGCACTATTCCCAATAGCAAAGACTTGGAACCAACCCAAATGTCCAACAATGATAGACTGGATTAAGAAAATGTGGCACATATACACCATGGAATACTATGCAGCCATAAAAAATGATGAGTTCATGTCCTTTGTAGGGACATGGATGAAATTGGAAATCATCATTCTCAGTAAACTATCGCAAGGACAAAAAACCAAACACCGCATGTTCTCACTCATAGGTGGGAATTGAACAATGAGAACACATGGACACAGGAAGGGGAACATCACACTCTGGGGACTGTTGTGGGGTGGGGGGAGGGGGGTGGGATAGCATTAGGAGATATACCTAATGCTAAATGACGAGTTAATGGGTGCAGCACAACAGCATGGCACATGTATATATATGTAACTAACCTGCACATTGTGCACATGTACCCTAAAACTTAAAGTATAATAATAATAAAATAAATAAAAAAATAAAATAAAAAATTCAGAGAAAGAGTAATGGAAATTTACAGAAAGGCTAGGATGTTAGCTTCAAAATGCAGGATTGTTTTGGATTCAAGAAACAGAAATTGCTGACAAGATGGATACTGAGATTAAAACAATTTATGATGCTG
Organism: Homo sapiens; assembly: GCF_000001405.40. Taxonomy (NCBI): domain Eukaryota; kingdom Metazoa; phylum Chordata; class Mammalia; order Primates; family Hominidae; genus Homo; species Homo sapiens. Next base: position 41,044,315 of record NC_000012.12, read on the forward strand.
GGTAAATTGCCAAGGATTATGTCAATAAGTTGAGTTGTAAGAATTCTGGTGCAAACAAAGTCAGTAAACACAGGTTTATCCTTTAAAAATATATTATTTGGCTCTATCACTGTTAAATAACATTTAAGTAGTCAAGTAGAGAGGAATATTTAAGGATTGGTTTACATCATTAATGACATAAAAATTGTAAATGTTTTTGTTTTGTTTTATATTTTAGATTAGTTATTCCACAATTTTGAAATCTATGAGGCAAATCCTTCACCTCAAATAACTGCATTTGGTGATGTGTTCTAAATTTAGAATGTTATACTGGGAGGGTAGAATCTGGAAAGAATATTGCTGAAGGAACTAAAATTGGAATCTAGCATGAGGAGGAACTCCCATATATAGTGAGTGCTTTGGAAAAGGACGTCAGAAATTAAAGAAATTAATCATTTTTGGAGAATGTAATTATAGTGAAGAATTTTCGGAGAATGAACCAATAGTCCTAAGGGAGATACCTTTATTCAAAGATGATTTCATTTTTCTGAGTATTGGGTATTAGCAAAATTTTAATTTTACTAAAAAGTAATGTGTTTCTCTTACCTGTAAGTATAACACCAAGGTTTGAGAAACTTCGTTGTAAAGTTTCAACCAATTTATGATATATGCATGAATAAATTATTCATGAGAAAATGGATAATCTTTTACAATGATTTATATGAAGAATTTTAATTATTGGTAAGCCTAATTTTGTATTTTTCTATGAATGTTGATTTACTAATGACATAAAAAGTTACATTAAGATATCTATTCTTTACACTCAAGTGGATTGAAAACATCCTGTTCCTAAGGATGAACTAAGATACACCTACCCCCGCCCCAAATCATAGGATATTACTTTACCTTCTCTTCTGAAATAAGAGCAACACAAAAGTTAATTAAAACAATCAGATTATCTTTAATAGATATATGCATCAACCATCAGAACAAGACTTCAAAATTCACTTTCCTTTGAAACATTATAGGCTGTGTTGAAATTTGTAACCCTCTTAGGAAAATATAAAAACAATTGTCTGTTCTGAGAAAGGGAGTTGGGTTTTAAATTTTCTCTCCTGAGGTTTGACACTTATTCACTATAACATAAATTTGAAAACCATTTAGAAAGGAAAGTGACTTTGTGATTTTTAAAAATAAAACCCTTGAAATTTCTCATAAATATTACTGGAAGCCTTTAATGCCATAGTAAGAGGGAATATAAAATGCTTAAACTGGAAAGTGATATGTCAACATATTAAAATGGTCCATTCGATACTACATTAGGGACCAGCTTTAGTGATTTATGAAGGAGCATTTAGGTCTCAAAGTAATTCCCATAGTTGGGTAAGGCTAGAAGCCAGGCCTCTTGGTAGATTCTTCACAGTATGAGAGCAGTGCAAAGGACATTCCAGAGGCAGTTTTTATAGACACATTCTGCAAAATCATCCAGACCAAAACAAAATAAATAATTTAGAACAATTTCAAGAGTATGAGATTATCCAGCCAGTAGTCCTTCTTCTATAACCTTCCATTTTAGGGCCTGCATACTTGACTCTCACTTCTTTTTCTTAAAAATGGGCTCAAAAGCAAATAATCAGTCTTGGGTCACATGGCCAGGAGAAGTAAGAAGAGTGAAGGTTATTGAAGGTTACAGAAAATGCAGGAAGAGTCGAGGGTGTGGCAGAGTACAGAGACTAACTCCTCAAGTCCCTTAGCCCATAGAGATGCCTTAGAATTCTGATGTGCCTGAAAGTTGTGAATCTTTAGGATATCAACATCCATGTAGATGATTCATCCAATGCCATAGCTTCTTAATTTATCTAACTTTTCTTTTCTGATGATCTTGTCCTGTGTCCTGCCTCAGCCACCCACTCATGATCACAACCGAAACAGGAATTCACAGATTTCAGTGTGAATTTGAATTTGAGGGATTTCTGAAACTTGGATGGTAAAAAATTACATTATAATTTTCATGAATTTCTAACTGAAATTTGGCATTTTAAAATATATGAATTTAGGTCACATATTACTCTGTCACCAATAACAATCAAACATATTCTCATATATTTCAGCTGTTGAAGTATTACTTCAATAATACATTTCTTAAATCTGCTCCTAGATCCTGTTATTTAATGTGTTAATAAGCATACTATTTGAATGTGTTAGTAACTTACATTTGGTTTCTTGATACTTTTATAAATGAATTTCAATACAATAGGTTTTTAAAAAACTCTATGTATTATATTTTATGCATGTAATAAGAGCATTATTCTCAGTATTTTCAGAAATCCACAGACCACTAAACGGGTCCATGACACCAAAAAGTTTAAGAACCCCTGTAAATCTTAATATTACTAATAACTGCAAATTTTTTTCTTTAATTTTGATTTTAAATACTGTGTTCTCTGACCACTGATTCTTCTTTTTCTAGTTTATTTCCTTAAATCTCCTCCCAACTCCAGCAGTTCTTCTACTTTCCCCTACCCAGACTACCAGTGATCTTATTGCTTATTTCTTTTTTTTTTTTTTTTTTTTGTCCTTCATTCATCCTCATGTCCTCAGCTCCTGCCTTGAATGTCAGCTCAGATTCCACGGTTCATATTGAAAACAACTGCCCTATATACCTTGTCCCTTTCCCTCTTTATGCTTCTCACTTGGCCAAACCCAAACTCATATTAAATATAACTGTTCACATTTTATGTGTCCACATCCAGGCAGAAGGCAGAAGCCATATGCCCCTACCAAGATCTCCCCTTTGCATTCCCATCCCCCTTGCATTCCCATCCCCAACATTCACCCTCTCACCAGCACCACATACCTAGAGACTCTGAGATATAATCTGTTCATGCCCTTCAGCCTTGTTTATGACAGTCACCTACAGAAACCCAGGAGTCTCTGATTAACACGGATCCAGGTGCCCATTTTCTGACATCTCTATTCATACTTTACTCTTAAAACCTTCCCACTGTTCCCTCTAAAACTCACCATCAGTTATCAGTAGAGTCTTCTGTAACTTCCATCTACTCACTGAGTGCTTCCTTCACCTTTTAACTTTATCTGAAGTCTTGCTCTCCCTGATGACATTGCTCCTTCTGCAGTCTATTCAAAAGTGGTGGTTCTCTCTCATACCCCTTGAAGGCTGCACCTGGTGGAGGGTAGTTGACCTTCCTTTTTGTCACTTCTACAGTATTCTCTTTCTCTCTTGCCTAAAAAGCTCTGCTTGGAATCATACCATCACCCTCTCCCACCCATTTCCCCTTCTTGTCCAAGTTTTCTACTAGCCTCTAGGGCCACTCTTACTCATTCCATGGAGACTTTACTTTTCAGATAATTTTCATTCTTTCCAAATGACATTGGAGAGAATGCCATTCTCTTTTATACTTCTTTCATAAGTTCTAGTGATACAATGTAGGCATAAATGATTTTTGCATTACTCTGTCCTCTCCATTTCTTTCTCTTATTGATGTTCTTCCCACGGTTCTACCCTAGCCCTTTTCATTACTATCTACATAATCTCAAACATCCTATCCTCTGCCCACTTCCTATCTTTACTCTTACCTCTGGTACTCAGACTCCCAAAAGTTTTTGACCTATCAGGAAGGACAAGCCATTGATCTGACCACTGTCTGTGTCCCTTACCTTCCTTGTATCCTCACTCTTTCCATATCCAGCTTAAATCCCACAGCCATATAATATAATTATTCCCTTGCATAGACCACCCATTCCACCCAGAAGTTCCCTTTTGCTACTCTAACTTCACCATACTCACTTGGCTAAAGGAGTGGATTAAATTTAACTCACTACTTGCTCCAAGCCTACACTTTCATGGCTAAAGGTGGCCAGAGAAGAATGCCAACACGAACACTGGTTTCACCTTGAATTCATGACCACAAAACTTCAAGTGGGCCCATAGTGCTGCTGGGCCATTCCACTAGATTTTCCTAGCACATCCACTCTTTCTTTCACCTAGAAACCTATTTCACACCTTCTTTTTTTCTTTCCTTTAATTTCTAACACATCTTTACCATCTTCTCTCTTTAGTCAATGACCTTGCTTCCTATTTCTCTGAGAAATAAAAGCAATCTGAAGCAGTCGACACCTACACATACGCCCATGTGACCTGCCTTTCTTTCTAAGATCCTGGCTGAATGTTCTATGTTCCTAAGGACACCCCTCCACATGGAAGCCAGATTCTAACACCTCTCGTTAATTCAAGAATATTGCTTCAACTACCCTTTCCTTCCTCTTCTACATCATTATATTTCTTTTTTTCTATTTGATTTTTCTCATCACCATACAAGTATTCTGCAATATTGCCCACTTTTAAGGGGGGAAAATACAAATAAGACAAAACAAAACAGAGCAACAATTGAAAGAAAGAAGAAGGAAAAAAATGAAGGAAGGAAAGAGGGAAGGAAGGAGAGAAAGAGAAGAAGGAGAGAAAGAGAAGGAAGGAAGGAAGGAACGAAGAAAAACAAAAAAAGAAAATCTCTTCCAGTAACTAACGCATGTTCTATTATCTTCTTTGGAGTAAAATTCAACAAATAATTTATCATCTTCACCACCTAATTCCTCTTCCAAAATTCTATCTTAAATTTGTTCCAATCAGATTTTCACCACAACACCCTGTCAAAACAGCTCTTGTCGAGGTTGCTAATGACCTCCATGTTTCTAATTTAGGAGTAGTCCTCTCCTTACTCAAGCTCTCAGCAGCACTGATGCATATGGCCACTTTCTCTTTCTTGGCTTTCTGGGCACCAGTCTGTTTTGATTTTTCTTTTCCCCTTAAGAGCTGCCATTCTCAGTCTCCTTTTCTGGTTTCTGGTAATCATTCCAACCTTTGAACTTTAAAGTCTCCCAGGACTCAGTACGTCAGTAATTCTTTTCCTCTTAGCCCTTAGGTAATCTCATGCAGTCTCGAGGCTTTAAGTGCATGACATGTATTTGTAGAAAACAATCAAATGTCAGTCTTCTCTGATTTATTCAGCTGCCTGATTGCTATCTCCATTCAGACATCTAATTTAAACTCTTCCCCATCTCCCTTTGTTTGCTTTTTCTGCAGTTTTACCCATCTCAATAAAGTATCTCCAATCTTCTTTGAAGTAATTTTTGGCATCATTTTCTTTAACACACCACATTCATTTCATCAAGAAATCCTGTTGGTTTTACCACTAAAATAAATGTATTGAGAAACATCCACCTCTGCTGCTACCATCATAGGGTCCAGTCACTGTGCCTTGTCTCCAGGATTGTTGCACTAACCATCTAATTGTGCTCTTCGCTTGGTGCTTAACACCTACAATTCATTCTTAATATAATGACCACAGTGATTATTTTAAAATATGTCAGCTCTTCTCATGTCTCTGCACAAAAACCTTTAATGGCTTCCTATCTGAGAAGGGGACTAGATCATATTCATATTTGTATTTTGCCTGATCTCTGCCAATCTGGGTCACTACCATTAACTCCCCAGCTCATGACATATAAACCAGTTTCTGGAAAACATAAGCCTGTTTATTTTATTTCCCAATGTCCTGCAAAATTTGATTTAACTAATTAAGATGTCTGTAATTTTTTTGTTTTGAGATGGAGTCTTGCTCTATCACCCAGTCTGGAGTGCAGAGTAGCACAATCTCGGCTTACTGCAACCTCCACCTCCCAGGTTCAGGCAGTTATCCTGTCTCAGCCTCCCAAGTAGCTGGGATTACAGGTGCATGCCACTAGGCCCAGCTAATTTTTGTACTTTTAGTAGAGACAGGGTTTTGCCATGTTGGCCAGGCTGGTCTTGAACTCCTGACCTCAGGTGATCCGCCTGCCTCGGCCTCCCAAAGTGCTGGGATTACAGGTGAGAGCCACTGCACCCAGTCAAGATGTCTATAATATTATTATAAATTTATGTATGTTTTTATTATTTATATGTTGCATTAGTCCATTCTCATACTGCTATAAAGAACTACCTGAAACTGGGTAATTTATAAAGAAAAGAGGTTTAATTGACTCACAGTTTCACAGGCTGTGCAGGAAGCATGGCTGGGAAGGCCTCAGGAAACTTATAATCATGGCAGAAGGGTAAAGGGGAAGCAAGCACATTTGCACACAGTGGCAAGAAAGAGAGAAGGGGGAAGTGCTACACACTTTTAAACAACCAGGTCTCATGAGAACTCACTCACTATCACAAGAACAGCAAGGGAGACATTCATCCCCATGATCCAATCACCTTCCACCAGGTCCCTCCCCCAACACTGGGGATTACAGTTCAATCTGAGACTTGGGTGGGGACACAGCCAAACCATTATCATATGCCTTGATTATTTAACATAGGTATGTTCTCTTTTTGCATAAATGAGAATAATGGTGTCTACCTTTGATATGAGCCATAAATGAATAAATTAAACCTGTTTTTATATATCTTAAACCTTTGCCACCCAATTATAACCGGAAGTATGAGTGGGAAAGACAACACTCTATATCAGCATTTCTCAAACTTTCTTCATTATTGCCTCCCTAGGAAGCCTCGTTACATATTATTTTTCCAAGTGTTACCACTTATGAAATTTTAATACCAAAAATCTACTGTATAGCTGTTTATGTTATGTGGCCCTTTAGAGATCCAAAACTATTATGAGATTTCAGATTTTCCCACCCCACAAGAACCAACTTTCACTTAGTTGGAGGCCATGTTGGCCCTATTGAGAATGCATGCTCGGTGGAGATTCTCACTCATTCCACTCCCTGGAGACACAGTAAATTCTATGAATCAATCAGTCCAAACCTTCAGTGAGCTGTGTTTTTAGAACATATTGCTTTGTGATCTTTTTTTTTTTTTTTTTTTTGAGACGGAGTCTTGCTCTGTCACCCAGGCTGGAGTGCAGTGGTGAGATCTCGGCTCACTGCAAGCTCTGCCTCCCAGGTTCACGCCATTCTCCTGCCTCAGCCTCCCAAGTAGCTGGGACTACAGGTGCCCGCCACCATGCCCAGATAATTTTTTTTTTTATTTTTTAGTAGAGACAGCATTTCACCGTGTTAGCCAGGATGGTTTCGATCTCCTGACCTCGTGATCCACCCACCTCGGCCTCCCAAAGTGCTGGGATTACAGGTGTGAGCCACCGCACCCAGCCTGTTTTGTGATCTTATATAATTAATTTTGTATTGAATTGTACTTTAGTCTTATGCTATTGGCTTAGACTGAGGGCAATTAAAAATAAAGTAGAGAAACAAAACCAAAAAAAATACACAAAATCTACTATTATATTATTCTACAATTGTTGAGGATATATTTCTATAAAACACATACAAAAATGTCCTCTTTTTAAGGAACTGTGAATGAAAGTTCTCTCAGGTAGGGGTGAACCTATAGAAGTGAGCACCCTGGTCTAGGCCAATAAATAAATATTTAATGTCTAAATAAAATAATTTAATATTAACATTAAATTAGTCTTGAAATTCCTGCATACTATGTATTTAATGGAGAAGATGAGATCTTGTAAGAGGAAGAATGCAAGGAGGATCACTTCTGTCTAAACTCTGGAACAGTTCATCTCCTAACATCCACCCCACACAAACACACACACACACACACACACACACACACACACACACACACACACAAAGAAACCTACAGTTAAATAATCCATTCTCTGTGAGCAGTGTAGATATTACTTATTGGAATGTATTAAATAGCAGACTCACTCTCCACACACACACACTCTAAATAGCTTATCAGCATCTTCCTTCAGTAGAGAACTGTGGGGGTAGAATACTGTGATAAATATGCTTTCCCAATTTCTTGTATTTCTAGTACTGTGTTGGCATCCAGTACAGTTTATATCCCGGATATCTGCCCAACTAGACTGTTCCATAAACTTTGTCTCTGGTCTTAAGACCAGAAGTAGATAAGCTCTTCCTGAGACATTACTTGTTTTTATCTTTTGGATAAAGACATTGGAAACTCAATGGCTGATGTATTTCCGTGTTTGCACTGCATGGCCAAAGCTCAGAGCCAAATCTGCTACATGCCTATAGCAAAATATATAAAGTATTGTATATTTTACTTTAAAATGTCTGAATATATATGCAGTGGCTTTAAAAAGTGCCTGGAACAACACAGACACAATAAATATTAGCAATATTTGTACTAGCTTTAGTTGATGTTGCTGCTATTTTGGTATTACCTCTTATTTTGTATCATGTTTCCTAACTTTATCTTTTTTCCTCTCAATTTTCTTATTTGTTTTCTTTATCATACTTTATCTATCTTTGTAAACTATCAGAAAGTCTTTTTAGAATGAAGTAGCCTATAACTTATAAGTAAATATTTATATTTTATCCCCCAAAGAACCTGGCAAACCATTTTGACTCAGTGTTTGTTTTTTCAATTTAACTAGCAAAAAAAGTTCTCTAGATAAATACTGTTGGATTACAATATCTGGAAGACTTCAATAGTAAATGTCTTAAGAACATTTATTTATCCTCAAGAACTACAAAACATGAATCGGATTTCCAGTATATGCTTTATAATTAAATTTAAGCCAAAAAGAATTCTTGAAATATTATTTAAAGTTATAAAGAATGCATCTAAAATGTGAGAGCCAATAAAATCTAAAGAGAAAATTCTTAAAATAAAATGGACACAAGAAGAAAAATGAATTAAAAAGCACTTACATATTTAGTAAAATAAATGTGCTTAGAAAATAGAGAACTGGCATGTGTGATCCTAAGACTACATAGATATTATAATCCAAGCAGAAGTCTAAAATATAAAGCAAACCAATTTGATAGAGAAATATTTGAAGTAGAAAAAATAATGATGCCATCACATTTGAAAAATATAGTCTTCATAATTCTTACATTCTTTCAAGTATCCCAAGTGCTTTCGTGACATTATATAGTCTGAGTTTATTTTTAGAAAGCCTTGGTTTTTATAAATAAAAAGACATTCTTTCTTTTTATAGAGTCACTATGAATGGCTGACTAAACTTCTAAACATATAAATACACTGCCATGGATATATGATACCCAAAATGAATTTGATGTAGAGGAAAAAGTAGTTCACAGACAAAATTTATTTAGATTTTGTCTCTTTCATGTTTTCACTAAATATATATATATATATATATATATATATATATATATATATTTGCCAATAATGCAGTGTCAGTTCTTTATAAGGTGGCTTATTCCTGGAAACTCTTGTTATTTTGTAATTTTGTTAATTATGTTGCCCTTTATATTGATGATTTAGATGTTTGAACATATCTTTTGTAGCTCTCTGCAGCCACATGTTATTCTTTTTGCTTTTGCTCCTGGGACTGAAAACTGTCGTCATCAAGAACTTTTAACTAATCTTTAACAGATTTTAAAATAACTAACATATATTTAAATGTCATTACAAATAATATAATGCTAGCTCATATTTATTATTATACTTGTTGAACTTTGGATTCAGTTAAAGGAATAAAGAATTATTTAACTTAGCATTTTCTTACTCTGACTTTTTAATCCTTTTTTACCCATTTTTAAAATAAATACAGTGTACCACTAAGGCAAAAGTCCCCAAAACTCTATTGTCTTCTTGTTCTTTCATTCTTTAAAAATATATATTGTATGCCAGCTCTTAATTGTGTTCATGGAAACTTGTAAAACACTAATCAATATTCTATAAGCCAGATAAAATAAATATAAAAGGAAACATTTTATATCTGAATTTTAGAGGCTAATTCCCTTTCCTCAAAGAAAGAGAAGTTATATTATTCTCAAATTAAAGTGAAAATGAGTATGCTTTCTTATTGCTACTTGATTATTTAGGACTATATAGTGCCTTAAAGTCTCTATACTATCCTTTCTGGTATAAGATTTATTTTTCTAAAATTTGAGAATGATAAAATTAGTAATAAATTTTGCTAGGAGTTATAGCATCGATATTGGGAAAAAATAAGGCAACTATATTACAGGCACTAGTAAACATAGTATTATACATATTTCCTAGAACATATTTGACTATAAACATTTTTCTACAAATTAAGTAGATATTGTTGTCAATGCCTAATATCTTACCTATTTTTCATGGAACATAACATGTATGAGGCAAGGTTAGTTATACACAAGATGAAAAATCATGGTGAAAATATGATTAGAGTATCTGCTTTAGCAAAGAGAGAAATGGTAATTCTCTCCTCATTTTAAACATAAACAAGTTTCCTATCTTTATAATTAACCTATTGATAATATAAACCAAAGCACTTATCACAGAACATAGCAGTTGCTCAATTATTTTATTGATCTTCAGCAGTTACTAATACATTCTGTAAGCTAGCACACAAATAAGGTACTTCACATAGAATAATGTCTTTAAATTACACTATCAGTTGCCATGTCACATTTAAAGAACTCATTCTCTAGTTATTAGATGTACTTGAATGTACTTATGTGATTTAGAGAATGTCAAGTCATGCAATATATTTTTGCAAATTTGATGAATTTTCATTTATATGTGTTAATTTTAAAATATTGTTTCAATCATTTAATATATTTTCTACACAGCTCTGCTGCATGGTCAATGAACAGTATGTCATTTGTGGTTTATCGTCAGCCATTTTTAATTAGACGAAATCCAACATTGCAAGTTTTAAAACTGAAGATTAGGCATCATTCCAAGTAGCAAATATTTTTGTTTTGGTTTTCTTCTAGGTTAATAACTTCTCTGACATTTGCACAACTGTGTTTGAAATATAGTCTAATAGAATATGTATTTGCCTTCTATAAAATTAATGTCCTAGACGATGATAAAATATGTTGAAGTTTTAAGGGAATTATTTTTTTTATTATCTTGGATTGGTCTATGAATTAATGAAATGGAAATTAATATACATGAGAGGATCAACTATAACTTTACATTAATTTAGAGTATTATAAGCAGTGGCTTAGAATAAGAGTTTACTTTTTGTGAATATCCAGGATAACTTTCACTAGCTTCTCCCTTTTTCACAATGCATTTCTTGGTAAATATTTTGTTATCATCACGACAGTGGGTGTTTCTAAAACCCATTCATATATTTTGCCCCATCTCTTCTTCCTTAGTGTGTTTTCCTCCTCCTCCAGGAAACCCCTTTTCTGCTGCCACCTGGAAGTACCCTCCTTTTTGCTCCCCTCATATCTTTGGCATTCTAAGTGCAATTGTGTTTACCACACCGTACTACAGTTGTGGTTTACTATCATTCAACCAAGATCTCTTGAGAAGAAGAAAGGCCATTTCTGCACCCAGTACTGACCACAGAAGTAGTGGGTTCTTATTAAATTGAAATTCATGAATGGAGGTTTGGCAGTTAAGTTTTTTCCTGTTATATTAAAACTGAGAAGCAATCCTAAAGAAAGAAAAATGACTTGGATAGAAACTCACATTTTAATCACATTTAGATGGTTCCTGCCCACTTAGTTAAAACAACTAGCATCTTTATCTATAAGTTGGATCATGTCAATGTACCTTTCTCAGCAGTGACTTCCTCTCTCTTCCCTCTCAGCTTCCCACACAGGGACATTACAGCCACGGATTTGCTCTTACTTTGAAGAAGCACGGGTACCTCAGTACCTAGATCTTCTTTTGAGTTTGCACAACCTTGGAGATGCAGAGTAGTTAAGTTGTAGTCAGAAGAGCCCTGATTCCTCCCGGCTTGGATTAAGTGGTACCCTAAATCCTAAATACCTTCTAATGCCCTTTAGTCTGGGCCTGGCCAGATACTTCTTTCCTGAGTCCATTACCAGAAATCTTTGGAATGTGGCCTGCAGAGACCACAGACAATTGGCACTCATTTTTCAACAAACAAAGTAGGTTAGAAAATAATTTTCCAGCTATAATAATACAAAGAGCCACCAATCATGAAATATTTATTTATAATAGCAATGCACTCTGTATCTTTGTTAAAATAACACAATTAGCTAATTGTTACTATCACCATTTTACTGATGAAGTCACTGAAATTCAGAGAGTTTATGTAACTTGTCCAAAGTCCTACAGCTGGTTAAGCTAGGAGCCAGAATTCAAATGATTTAGTTCTAACACTAAAGCATGTGCTCTTAATCTGTATACTATGTTAGGATGGGATTAGTTCCATATGGCAATTTTTAGCAAGAACCTGATATTGGGACATGACATAGCAACAAGAGAAGAGAAACAGAGATACCCAGAAATACACAGGTCATTCTATAAGTAACTACTATATTGCAGAATAAATAGTGAATGCCAGATAGGCACAGCTAAAATTTCTAGCACTCCAACTCCAAACCAAATTTTGTTAACTATTTGGGAGAGGACCTGACATAGCTTCTGCCATTATCTAAACAGACAGAATCCACATGATTCTTGGAGGAGGAAAAAATTAAATAAACTCAGATTACTTTCTTTTAATCTTCTAGACTCCATCCGTACAAGTGGAAAATTCATCTGACTCAGTTAAAACTAACATATTTAAAGCACCAATTATATAGTCCAATTAAAGTATTATCTAAATATAACATTTAGATCATAATTTATTATATTATAAATATTTGGATATTTATAAATATTATATTTAGATATTTATAAATATTTATAATATTTAGATATTTATAAATATTTATAATATTTAGATATTTATAAATATTATAAATATTTAGATATTTATAAATATTATAAATATTTAGATATTTATAAATGATATTTATAAATATTATAAATATTTAGATATTTATAAATATTATAAATATTTAGATATTTATAAATATTATAAATATTTAGATATTTATAAATATTATATTTAGATATTTATAAATATTATATTTAGATATTTATAAATATTAAGATATTTATATTATAAATATTTAGATATTTATATTATTATATTTAGATATTTATAAATATTATTATAAATATTTAGATATTATTTATAAATATTTAGATAATATTTTATTTCCTCTAAAGAAAGAGCCATGTATTCCTGGTCCAAGATTATATTCTAAACACAGGCTTAACTTAAAATAGACCATGATCACTACAAAAAGGAAGAAAGGTGATAAATAACACTTAAAAATCTCACATGTACATTAGTAGACCCTTTACAAGGAAAATATTATTAAAGTTTAATGTGCAACTAATTTAGCTCGGTGAAATATTTTTGATATGTATTAAAAAATCAACCTATGGCTAGCTAACAATGTAATTCTCAGAATATGCAATATCAACATAAGACTCTGTTCATATTTCTGAATTAAGCACTTTAGTGGATATTGGTTTAGATGGGCTGATTGCTTGATTTTAAATCTTATTTGATGAATTTGGAATGGAAGATTAAGAAATAAAGGTAGAGAGGTATGATTGGAGTATAAGTTATATTTAGACTGTGAAAAGGGAGAAGATTAAGTTTGTGGTCTTTGCTTTTTGTTTTCTGGCGTTTTGGCGTGATTTTTTTTATTTTTATATTTTGCTTTTCTTATACATAAGCATGAGATGATGAGATCCTAAACTTCTAATGCACAGGCAATAAAGGTGAAGAGTCGTGAGAGATTCTAGAGCTATACTGGAGATCAAATCAGTTGGACTTGGCACCCAAGTTGATATATTACAGGCGAGGAAGAAAAAGCACTTTGCAAATGACGGCATTTTCTATTATGAATAATTAAGTGCATGGTACCTCATGAACTGAACTAAGTAGTGCAGGAGGATGGACAATTTTTATAGGAGTAGTGGCAGGAATAGGGAGTATAGAGGGAGAGAGAAGTGGTCCTGTGACAAACGCAAGAACCTCAACATGGAAAAACAGGTAAAGTGAACAAGAGATAAAACAATCCAGGTAAGACATAGTAAATCCAAAATGAGTCAATGCTCCCAAGCTTCTTTTTAGGTTTCCTAACATTTCTCTCAACACCTAGAAAATTCATTATGAATTACTTCATACATGTTACTATATCATCATTGACAAACACCTAAAAGTCCCTGTTTCCACTGTCAAGATAAATGAGTATAATAAGACACAAGTCTTGAAAAGAGAAAAAGCAATAATAACCAAAAATTGTATGATGGAATGAATAAAAGAAGCCTGGCAATACTGATAGAAATGCTGGTATTGAAGGAATTTCAGTTCCATTCACTTGTGGGAATTTGATTTGTTCAATGTAAACAAAATGGTTTCTTAAAGAATTTCCCAGAATTCCAAATGGTTAGAAAGAAGTAACTACTCTGCTGATTTTATAAATAAACTCCTGCAAAAGTGATGAAAGTTAATCTTTTTTTCCCCTTTTTTTAACTTAAAAAGAATTTGAAAAGAACTTAAAATTTCAAGGTTTAACACCATGAAACTATGACTAAGGATGAGCCTTTTCAGAAAAGAAGGAAGTCTGAAAAATATATAAACAGAACCAAGGAAATTCTGTGCAGATACAATCCAAGGTGATTAGAATTATTTTATATCTTCAGGTTGAGAAACTGAACAAGCACAATCTCTTAGAAATTTTTTAGACTAGTCAATGTCCAATTCTAGCCAGTGACTCCTTACACACTTCAGACTATAGTTAAAATAGCTGAAAAATTATTTCTGCTGTGAAAGTACAAAGAGAAGATTCAGCTTGTTATGATCCTCTTAATAGTTTCAGTGATTCAATGAATTTGGACAATTTCTTATAAGAACTTCATGTGCATATAGCAAAACAGAGAGACACCAATTAATCCTTTTTGATAGATGGATGACACTGAATTGTGAAATAAGGTCCCAAGATCTAACAAACAAATGAATTCAAGGTCATAAAAAGAAGAAAAATCTTAATAGCAAATACCAAATACCAATACACTAGGAGAAAAATCTTAATACCAAATACCAAATCTTAATGCCCTTAATACCAAATACCGATCTTAATACCAAATACCAAAATACAGCCTCAAACAGGTGAATCACTCATTTGTCATAGCCTCAAAGCCAAAGATGACTGAAGACCAACAGAACTTTTTGCCCCAGTTTTATCCTGAGAAAGTTTCCAGGGTAGTTCTGTCTCTGCATCACCATTTGAAACCAGTGAGAGAATGGGATTATTGGCTGTCATTGCTATTGAGGCTTTTAGAAACCTCTAGTCATTTTCAACTCTCAACTCATTACATTAAGGAAGGCGGCATCACTGCATTCTCTAGTAATGTTTAAAGATGTTTATGAAGCAGCCAGGATGTAGAGGAAATAGTACTGGGCTTAGATTCTGGTTTATGTTCAATACCTAAGTTTACTGTCTTTTAGGTATGTAAATATAAGCCCTAGGTCCCTAATCTGTAAATACAAATAATGATACATACTTTAACTGTATCTTATAAGAATTTAGTAAAATAAATGTTGTAATGTGTCCTAGACAAATTAGGCACTTACTAAGTGGTTTAAAAGAATTAAAAAATCCATTGAACAGGCCAAGTGCAGTGGCCTGAGCCTGTAATCCGAGTACTTTGCAGGGTCGAGGTGAGAGGATTGCTTGAATCCAGGAGTTCCAGACCAGCCTGGGCAACATTGTGAGACCCTATATCTACGAAAAATATAAAAACTTAGCTGGGAATGGTCATGCATGTCTCTAATCCCATCTACTCAGAAGGCTGAAGTGAGAGGATCACTTGAGCCTGGGAAGTAAAGGCTTTGGTGAGCTGTGATCGCATCTTTGCACTCACTCAGGCAACTGAGTGAGTTTGTCGGAAAAAAAAAATGAACAGATATTTGTTAATGACATATTATGGATCAGGCTGTCCAGAATCTTATGAATAAATGAAATAATTTTAAGGAAAATTGAGTCTCATGGCCAGTTAGTTTCACTCTTTCTCTTTATTGTCAATACCCACAAACACCAGCCAGTCTCCACAAAAAAAGAGAAGCAAAGCAATAGAACGAGCAATTTTTGTGGTGGGGGATGATTGCAAGGGACAGTCTTTCTTTGTATGTAAATAAACCCACAGGGCCATGTATCTGTTGAAAATGTCCAAGAAGTCCTAGTCACAGTGCTCAACTGGTCCTTCAAGACTTGCACTGAAGAGGAACCATTAACCTTGGCATAGTGGAACATGTAAATTTTCAAACTTTCTCTCTGGTTCTACTTGTCTCTTTGCCTCAAAAACTAATTTGGAGAAGGCAAGGTAGAGGCAGTGGAAGGAATAATTTAGCACTTGTTTTTATAAGTATGGCAAAATGGAATGGGCATTTGAAGTTGCCAGTCTTTCTAACTTTGATTGAGGCTGAGAAAAGTTACTCCTGGTGATAACTCAGTGTATTTCACAAAGTTGGGGCTGTAAATGTGAGAACATTCTGTCAAATAGCTATTTCCAAAGCCAAGTGCACAGATTACCTAATAAACTGGCTCTGGTTGTTGGTTAATTAATCACAAATTAAAAACTTGAATGTTATTTATAAAATATTTTGTATACGTTGGGAATAAAACAAACCCATGAAACCCATTATACATAATTCTATGTATTCTATAGAACAGAACCCAGATACCAAGGTCTGAGTCTCTTCTGTCTTATTCCAGACTGAGTATGTTCTCACTAAATACTCACTAAAAAATCAAATATCTTTTTAAATGAATGAACTACATTTAATATTGCAAATTCACAATTCATAGATGGTTTTTACTTTGCATTTTAACCCCATTATGTAAGTATTAGACTCCCAATTTTACAAATAAGTAAATGGAGCACAGAGAGATTTAGTACCTTATGAGAGGCCACACACTCAAGTGAGTGGTAACAGTATGCAGATAGAATTGTCTCACCTCAAGTCTCATGCTTTTGTGTAAATGTCACCTTGCATTTCTAAAGAAGTAGGTAAGCCAGTTTTAAAAGTCCTCATAATTATGGTCTCACCTTGCCCCAAAATATCAAAATTGGGCTTGTTGAGCATGTGCTTATTGGCCAGCTTCTTATAAAAGCTAGAAGTTGCTTTTATATTTCCCAGCAAATCAACTGGTCATCACTCTATTGGAAATGCTCACTCCTTTCTCAAAGAGGAAATGCATCCTGGTGATCTGGTGTTTTCTGACAGGGAAAGGGCCAGAGTCAACAGTAAGGAACAAATACAACTGCCAGGATAAGCTGCCAGAAAACCATGTACCTCTGCCAAACAAACAAAGATCTATTTTGCTTGGCATGTGGGTTTGGGTTCACAATTGCCAAACGAATAGGAGCAGAAAGATTAGTGGGCTTCACTGGATGGAAAAACCCACCGAAGCCACTAGCACTTAGATGATCAAGCACTTAATGTATATTTATAAACTAATATCAACTTTGATTAGCATAAATAAGGGAAAATGTAACAAATATGTTTGCAAATTTTATGGCTCAATGCTTGATATTCTCAAATATATTATGGTTTGCCTAGAATTACAGACTCAGGGCTGTAGTAGGAACCTTAAAACTTATAACATTAAACCCTATCATTTTACAGAAGGAAAATCCACATCCTTGAGAAGTAAAACAGCCAAAGATCACAGAAGCATCAGAACCATGTCTTGAGCCCAAATATTCTCTGTTGCTAAAGTTATATAACTAGCTATTGACAGAACTAGAGGTAGGTCTTAAGCTGTCTTTTTTCTTCTCTACCTAGCTTAGTATTTGAGTGTTGCTATCTCAAGTAGGCAAAGGGAAATAAAATCATCAAAAGCAAAATAAGCAAGCTGATACACAGACAATATCATAAAATAGATATTTTAGGGAAAAAACAAAAATCATCAAATGTGCAAAAATTCTGCTGAACCTCAAAGATCAAACCCATTTTATTTTCTGATTTCTCTTTGGGTCTCTTCTTTAGAAACTCTTAAAACCAATTAGTGTGACTATCCATTACTTTATTTTGTCAAAGTCATGAAGTTAATGCTTATAATAATCTAAAATTGAAAATTACATTAACGTTTTCCCCAAGAAACTGGTTTGAAGCCAATTCAGCTAACTTTCTAAAAAGACACCTCCTTTGTTAACATTAGACCATTCATAAAAATAACAATTTTGATATATAGTTCAAAGAAAATGTTAACAGTAACCTCACTGAATTACAGCAGTGTTACTGAAAATTGTATGCTAGTTTCCAGGCAAGTACAACTTTTCTACCTTACAGATTTGCAAGTTTTACATCTCAACTCTAGTCTATACTTGCATTGTTGATAACATTTAGACAGGATGGAAACCTGGAAAGAAAAAAATTATGCAAGAGAAAATGTGCAAGGAGAAAGAGACAAAGATGAGACAGAAATGCTAAAAATGAATCAAGCAATAATTCAAAGATTCCTTTGTTTCAGACATTTCATAAAATCTCAGTTAATACATTTAAAACATTTGTTTTTACCTCAATAGCTTCACATTGACCAAGTGTTAATTCAAGGAAGTAAATGGGACTGCATGAATTTTTTAAAATTATCATTGTCAGAAAATTAACCATACAATAAAGTAGATTTCAGTGTCTCAAAGTAAAACATACCTCTTCTTCTTTTAATGTTTGTTTTTATATATTTCTGCCACAAAATTTAATAAAATAAATACCTAACTGATTTCCTCACCTAGTTCTGACAGCAATCCAATGGAGAAACAAACACAATTCAGTAATTTGCAGAATGGAACACCACCAGTAAAAGAACCCCAGAAAATTCCCAACTGATTAGACTAAGTCCAAAACAAAGCTCTTCACCATAAATTTACCATTTTTTCAGACAAATTCTTATGAGTGACTAAATTTGCAAAGTGGCAAACTCACACCAGGCCTTTCTGTACAAATAAATAAGATAAAAAATGCTGAAAAATTCGAACGCTGCACCTACCTTGACTGCGTCCCAGTGGTTACTCATAAAAATGGATCCAGTACTCTGACAAGTTCACTGAAAGTGTTGTCTTCAGTAGCTAAAGAGAGCACTTGCTTTTCTTGTGTTGATTAGCCTCAAGCAATTGGGAAAATAGCTAAAAGCTGAGAAAGGCAAATTAGAGAGGTTTTAAATGATACAGGTGAGCAAAGTCCTGAAACACGTTTTTCCAATTACCACAAATTTACCAGAAAACGTACTTTTCCACAGCTATGGGCAGAATATAATTCCTGTGTGATGGTCCTTGATAGAAAGTTACTGTGGTCAACAAGTTTGGGAGATACTGATTATCCTCTGTTGCTTTGATGATTCTCAACATGCATTTATTTGCACTTTTTAGATGAGAGTAGTCTCTTTTTTGCCCCAGAACTCCTCTTTTGCTCCTGGATCCACACAGCCCTTTCACTGGGCAAAGTACCGTTCCTCCTGAGATAAGAATGAAAGCTACCATCTTCTTACATGGCCCTGCTTCCTTGGCCAGAGTGATTGGTTGAGTGATGGAAAGCTTCTCCAAACTAGTTCAATCAAAGAAGCCACTAACTCAGCCACAGTTATTGGTCTGGGGATAGGTGTGTGACCTGATGTTTGCAAAGCAGAGCCTTTCCTTAAGAATTTTTCATTAGTGTTGGGGTAAAACGATAGCCCAGTCTGTTTGTTCTTAAGAATACGTGATGTGAGCTAGGAGCTCATATCTCTCTTGAGAGAAGTCAGTCTGAGAATGTGAGGCAACAGGCCGGGCGCGGTAGCTCACGCCTGTAATCCCAGCATTTTGGGAAGCCGAGGCGGGCGGATCACGAGGTCAGGAGTTGAGACCATCCTGGCTAGCACAGTGAAACCCCATCTCTACTAAAAATACAAAAATTAGCCGGGCATGGTGGCGGGCGCCTGTAGTCCCAGCTACTCGGGAGGCTGAGGCAGGAGAATGGCGTGAACCCGGGAGGCAGAGCTTTCAGTTAGCCGAGATCGCGCCACTGCACTGCAGCCTGGGCGACTGAGTGAGACTCCATCTCAAAAAAAAAAAAAAAAACAATGTGAGGCAAATTGTAAAAGAACAAGAGGTGAAAGCCAGAGACTTGGAAGATGCAGGCATTCAATTATCTGCTCCAGTGTGCCTGTAAAACATCAGCTGTTAGGTTGGGGTTCTGTTTCTTAAAACCAAAGATCCCTGACTACCATGCTACACAAACACTGGAGCTGGAAGCTAGACTCTTACAGAAAAACTCAGTATGCCCAGCTTATGCCATTGTTTGCTTTATTTTATCCAACTACTTTTCCAGAAATACAGTGCAGGTCTAGAACAAGAAATAAACTTCATGAAATGTAGTAGGAATTGCTACCATTTACTGGGAGTTATCTATTAATCATGCATTTCTGAAATGCTTTACATAAAGCAGTTGTTTTCAAACCGTGATAAGCAGAGTCCCACATGTTCCATGGGGTGATAGAGTTGCGGGAAGTACAGGTGCCAGCATGAAAATAGAGAAGACAAAAATCTGGTGGTTTCCTGCTCTTAAACCCATCTTTGAGTAAAGCATCCCCCTTTCACCCAGTTCAATAATGGATTTCCACATATAATTACTTCTGAAGAAAGGTTATGCTACCTCTCTAGATAGATAGATAGATAGATAGATAGATAGATGCCATGAGACATATTATTATCCCTATTTTATAGTTGAAGGAAAAAGGTTTAATTTTTTTTTAATTTTTTCAAATTAAAAAAATTAAAGAACATGCTCAAGATTACCCAGATTATGCAGCCAGTAAAAGGCAGAGGTAGAGTTTGAACTTTGCTTTGCCTGTTTCCAGAACGTCTGACTCAGCTGCCATGTGATACTGTTCCCAATATATCCTTGTGGCTCCTACTAGGACAGGCACTCATTGCTTGCTTTATTTTATTTTTTTATTTTTTTGAGACGGAGTCTCGCTCTGTCGCCCGGGCTGGAGTGCAGTGGCGCCATCTCCGCTCACTGCAAGCTCTGCCTCCCGGGTTCACGCCATTCTCCTGCCTCAGCCTCCCGAGTAGCTGGGACTATAGGTGCCTGCCACCAAGCCCGGCTACTTTTTTGTATTTTTAGTAGAAACGGGGTTTCACCGTGTTAGCCAGGATGGTCTCGAACTCCTGACCTTGTGATCCACCCGCCTGGGCCTCCCAAAGTGCTGGGATTACAGGCGTGAGCCACCGCACCCGGCCTCATTGCTTGCTTTATTGATACTCATATTAGCCAGCTTGTCCTGTTAAAATTAAATAGCCAAAGATCAAACAGAAACCTGTAGTCCGACAAAGCCAGAGTTATTGACTGGATGTAGCAAGGAAACACACACCAGAGCAATCATGGAATACCATGCAGGTGCGAAGGAGAAGTGTCTTATGTAAGGTTTGAGTTCCTGCTGAAGAATTCTGAGGAGGGTGGAAATAAACTGGCAGTCAGATCTGGATTAGTTCTGTTTCTGAAGTGGGAATAGGAGAAGCAGGAATTAACTAGAGCTGGGGCTGTCATGAGGGGAGTGCAGTCCAGCAATTGGGTATTCCCACTAATAGGTGGGACAAGAAGAGCAGAGCTGGGGCATCATTGGTAACAGCACCATCCACTTGGTGAGGAGGTCATGATGGCATTCTACAGCAGCTCTGTGATCTTGGTAGTGTTTCCTGTGAACTTTACAGTTGGCATTATCCATGTCTGTCATACGAATCTGAATAAAGGTTTTGTTATTTTTCTGCCTCAGCTGATTTTCACTCTAATCATAGGGATGTTTTTACTCTTTCAGTTCTCAAACGTGCTGTCCCAGCAGGAGTTTTATTGAACTCAACAATTTTCAACGCAAGCATCCATTCATGTGTACCTAATATACCTCATATATATTAGGCACACCTCTAGGCAGTGGGGAATCAACCATCTAATAAAAACACTTTCTTCCATATGGCCAGGGCCATTAATAGACCTCGGAAGAATAAAAAATAATGTCGGACCAGGACTAGTTGGAGGACTCCTGGACTGAGTAGTAAAATCATTGCCTTCTGATATTATATTATGAATTTTTAATATTATCTCTTTAATAGGAAAAAACTATTTTCTGAGGAAAAGTAATCATAGGAAGGTATAACCCCTTTCTTTGTCCAGGTTCCTAGAAGTTAGAGAGATTATGCAATATAGAATAAAATAAAAAGAAATATCAGGGGTCACACTGAAGGTCACAGTGGTTTCCTCTAACCATCTTCTTCCTTAGACCCCCTGTGCTCTGTAATAAGAAAAAATTCAGGGCCTACAATGGAGGCATAACTCAATCATTTAACATTATAGGTTGAGTACTTTCTATGCACTAGGCTTGGTATTAGTCAACACAGCTAAAACATAATTTGGATATCATCTCTGTCTTGAAGTTGTTCATAATATAGAGATATTAGCAGTTGTGGTCACAAAATGTGACACCACAAAGAGAAAATTCTAAATGTTATGGCATCGTCAGCAATAGGCAAGCAGTAGAAACAAAGACTGCATCACAGTGTCCAGATTGAAGAATCAGAAAGGAAGTTTGTATTAAAAACCAAGTAGAGCAGTTTTCTACTTATCAGAAAGCCTGCAGTACTGCTCAACTTTTAATTGAAATGTCTGTTTTCAGCATCACTCTCCATATAGCGGGAATTCTCCCTGAAGGAAGTATGAAATCAAAGTTTAGATTTAAAAAAAAATCAAGAATTCCCATGGAAGAGATATAGTACTCCAAATTGGTTTTACATTTCTTCTGATAGAGAAAAATTATTCACAAGATCAATGATTTGTTCAGGTTTAACATTCATCAGCTATGTGAAAAGCAAAATATGTGTTTACTATATAACACATAAGTACCAGAATTATGATTGATAGCAGTATTCTGATATATATGTTGTTAGATTCAAAACCAATATATATTGAAAAACTCCTCAAGAATATATGTCATTTAAAATGACATTAGATAGTACTTCAATTCGGTCTCTAATTTCTGTTTGGAATGTGGGATAGAAGTAAAGATGAAGACCAAAATTACATAAGCTTGAGCCATTAGAGAAATTAAATATAACACACGTAAACATGGAGAGTTTATTTCAAATATCCTGATGTCAAAGCCACAAATTATGAAATTGTATTTGGTTTTCATACTAGTACCAAAACATCAAGATGGCATCCACAATTCACTAAATTTCTTTCGAGCAGCCACAGTTTGTACTTTGCCAACCCACATATTCAGCCAAGTACATAAACATGTCCCCATGATAGATGTAATTTGTGGTCAAAAGACAGAGCATTGTGGAGACCCTGCAGTCATCCTCAGACAAAAAAGGCTTCAGAATGATGATTTCCAATTCCTATCACAAGAACAAAAAACCAAACACCGCATATTCTCACTCATAGGTGGGAATTGAACAATGAGATCACATGGACACAGGAAGGGGAATATCACACTCTGGGGACTGTGGTGGGGTGGGGGAGGGGGGAGGGATAGCATTGGGAGATATACCTAATGCTAGATGACGAGTTAGTGGGTGCAGCGCACCAGCATGGCACATGTATACATATGTAACTAACCTGCACAATGTGCACATGTACCCTAAAACTTAAAGTATAATAAAAAAAAAAAGGCTTCAGGATGGATCATTTACACTGGGTCAAACATTGACGTTTAAAGGTTTTACTGTGTGATTGAGGTTTATTATTGGGCATCTTATCAGAATAAAATAATGTGTGGTCTGTGGCATATTTTAAAAAATTTGTAGAAAAGTAGAAGATAAAAAAAATTACAAGAATACAAAGATCTCTTTGAAACAGTTTATGTGTTAGCTTTTTTCCATATGACATTTATTATTTTCCTTCTGTGCCCTTGCCTTGATACATTAAGTGCAGAGCGCAGTTTCCTTCTGCATTTCTAAAACCAGTCCCTTGCTAAAGCTACCTGCAAGAACACGGCAGAGAGGTCAAAAGTGCATGGCCTTTGCAGCTGGACAAATTTGAATTCTAATCCCTTCTCTGCCCTCTAGTGACTATTGGACTTGAGCAACTCATTTTACCTGACTCAGTTACAAAATATATAAAATTAGGGTAAAAGACCTACCATTGTAGGTTGTTGTAGTCATGTCATAATCTACATAATGAGCCAACATAGTCTTGTAGCTGGCTGTAGGGCAGTAAGTAGCATCTCTCAAAGTAATGATAAGTTTACTATTGTTATTGATAGTGTCCTTAGGAGCTCTGCTACTTGAGGGCTGTTTATATTCCCCTTGTTATCTGCCCTCACCTTTTGACCCTCACTTTCCTGCTCATTTCTAAGAACTACTTTATCTGTATCCGATAAAGCTTTCCCTCTTATGTTTCCAGGCAGCTCCAAAAGCCCCAGGCAGGGCAATGTTGAAGACAAGCAAGCAGACAGACACTATTATCTTCCACCTTATAGGGAACATGAATGTGCTTTTAATGACCAGAGATTCAGGAGAAATGCACTAAATCTCCCTGAATATAAAAGGACCATGCCAAAGAATGAGCTGTTTATGGTCACTTTTAATGTGATAGATAATAATAATTTATTTGGTGGTTTCAAATTTAGAGAGTAAACTTCCAAAAATTAATGAAAACTGTTATATTAGTAAGCCATTGACTAAATTTTTTAGGTCTTCACTCATTCTAGCAGCATGTTCATTGAAGATAGTGCCAGCCAGGCATGGTGGCTTATGCCTGTAATCCCAGCACTTTGGGAGACTGAGGCAGGAGGATCACATGGGCCCAGGAGTTTGAGGCTGCAGTCAGCTATGACTGAACCACTGCACTCCAGCCTGAGCAATAGAACAAGACCCTGTATCTTAAAAAATAATAATTAATTTATTTAAAAAGAAGATAGTGCCTAATAGTTGTGGACATTGGGAAGAAAGAGTATGACTTTTTGGTCCTACTTTACAATAGTTTCTCAAAAATTCTCATGTCGGCAGGACACGGACCCATAAACTTACTTGACTACAGGAGTAGCCCTTCTAAGTGTCACCCAAGACGTAAATTAAGTCCATAGCATATTATAATACATCATTTCAATTTTTAATTCACAGTGTAATATCTCAGGGCAATTGTTCTTTAGATAAAAATTGAATGAGATTATTTAATATCAGAAATACATTACTTAAGTCATTCTGTATAAATGTATAAATGTCTTAAAACCATTGGGATGTGAAATTATGCAAGATTTACCTAGCATACCTATGTTGTCATTGTTTCAGGAAAAATTATTAGTATTTTTACTGTATCTCTTTTTTTACATTTTATTATTATTATACTTTAAGTTTTAGGGTACATGTGCACAATGTGCAGGTTTGTTACATATGTATACAAGTGCCATGTTGGTGTGCTGCACCCATTAACTCGTCATTTAGCATTAGGTATATCTCCTAATGCTATCCCTCCCCACTCCCCCCACCCCACAACTTTATCTTATTTTTAAAACTTACTTTTTTAATGCATGTATATATGTTTCTTGACATTTTGCCTTCTGGTAGGAATTTGGGACTGCTGGATCATAGGGACAGCATACACATTTGTGATCATATTATTTTAAATGATTAATCATGTTGTGTAAACAGTTCACATGGTCTCACACAGAAAATCTTTGATCAAAAGCTTTTGTTTTTCTTAAATCATGTAAGAATAAGAGATTCTGTTTTGTGAAAGGACCCATTTGTTTTCCAGGGCTATGCAATCTCGCCTTAGCTGAAGCAGACTAAATGAGCAATAGTGACATGTATCAATGAAATAATATGCACACTTTTGGTTTACCTTGCAGGTGCACCCACCCTATCCCCAAGTCTTCTCGGCTTACTGCTGCCTGCCTTTGGCATCCTTGTCTACTTGGAATTCTGAATGTGTTGTGACAGCTGCTGTTCCCATCCCAGCTCAGAAGACACCCTTCAACCCTGGGATGACCACAATTCCTTCCAATTTCTGCGGCTCCATCCTAAGCCAAATAAATTATACTTTAACAAACTATTCAACTGATTTACAACACACATGATGACTGAGGCATTCGGGAACCCCTTCATCCAAAAGAATAAACTTTTAAATGGATATAAATGATTTTTAACTCGTTCCAATATGCCTTATAAACCACTTAACCTGATTCTGTGACAGTTGCATGATTTAACCCAATGGGACAAGTTACAGTGTTCAATTCAATACTATAGGCTGTAGAGTGAAAGTCAAATCACCATATACAGGTGCTTTAAATTTAATAACAAGTTGTGAAATATAATAGAGATTGAAATGTTGGTTGTATGTGGTAAATGTAAGAGTAATACAGTCTCTTGTACTTTCCTCACTGTTTTGGGTACTGCATATTATTGAATGGCCCCTATCATTCATGACATCTTGAGTTTTCTTGAAAAGACAATAGAGTGTAACAAATATTTTGTCAGAAATCCCATTATCAAATCATGAGTTGAAAGATTTTGACTATTGAAAACCAAATTCTAGAACTTACTATCAGTATTCTTATTTTCAAAGGAAATAATTTTCTAAATATTTGATTTTCAGAATCAGTTTTTTAATAGTAAAGTTAACATACCATATAGATTTTTTTTTACTTTTATATTCTACTCTGAAGTTATTTTATGCTTTTCTTATCAATTTCAAATCTCAAAAATCACAGCTCTTATCTAGAGTATCATAATATTGCTATATTTGTTCATATGTGGAGTGACAAATTTTGAAAAGTAGAGTGCTTCCTTTTTTATTGAGATGTGACAGTCTTTACATGGTTAGGAATAAGTGACAGTTAAGTGAATATCACAATTACTAGTATGTTGGTTTTTCTGCTTCATTCCTAAGTATTACGTTTCTTTATTGCAGATGTCAGATCAAAAAGTCACCTGTAGGTTGAAAAAGCTACCGTATTCCATTTTGTAAAAATAACAATAATAATAATAATAATAATTAGTTTTAAGCTCATTTCCCACTTCAATGCAATACTGAAAACTGGCTAAAAATACCAAATCAATATACTGCTAATGGTACTTTGAAGAGTATGCAAAACTGGAAGGCCAGGAGGAGGCAAATAATATGTCTTTCCGATGGTGTCTCCCAAGTGTTGGTGCTTTGGGTTTTTATAAGTTGTGAAAAGGAAGATGCACATTTCTTCATTCTCCATGGTGTGCATGGAAATGTGTTTGAGTGTGGATGTAAAAGAAATCGAGTAATAAAGAATTAGCTGGCTTGTGAAATAGTGCAGTGTTGGATGCTTCAAGAGGTATAATCCTATTTTATTAGCACAAACTTGCTAGCTAATTAGAGTTTATCTTTTTAGAAAGGACACCGTATAGGTTCGTAAAAAATATTTACAGGAAGCAAAATAGATCTATTACTACTTTACCGACTTTACCCCCTTTCTTTAATTTGTATAATTTTTGTACTATATATCGATGTGTAAATGTTTAGAGTCTTCATTATGAAAATATCAATAAATATTTCATTAGTTTACATTTAACTCTGGTATAAAATGAAACTTTTAAAAATAAGTGAAATGGATGATTTCCCAGTGGAAGTATGTCAACAGTCTTAAGATCATTGCCAGATTTCATAAAATATTTAAGTATTTGAAAAAGAAACAAAATGTCTTCATACTTTAGGGAAACGAATACCCTGTATACCTTCTGTACAAATGTTTGTGTTTTCATTGTTACACTTTGGGGTTTTACTTTTGCAATGTGACCCATGTTGGGCATTTTTATATAATCAACAACTAAATCTTTTGCCAAATGCATGCTTGCCTTTTATTTTCTAATATATGATAATAACGAGCAAAACTGGTTAGATTTTGCATGAAATGGTTCTGAAAGGTAAGAGGAAAACAGACTTTGGAGGTTGTTTAGTTTTGAATTTCTGACAGAGATAAAGTAGTTTAAAATCTCTCGTACACTGATAACTCAAGCTTTTCATTTTCTCATACAGTTGTACAGATTTAACTGGGACCATCAGTTTTAAACTGTTGTCAAGCTAACTAATAATCATCTGCTTTAAGACGCAAGATTCTGAATTAAACTTTATATAGGTATAGATACATCTGTTGTTTCTTTGTATTTCAGGAAAGGTGATAGTAGTTTTATTTGATACTGATAAATATTGAATTGATTTTTTAGTTATTTTTTATCATTTTTTCAATGGAGTAGTATAGGACTGTGCTTTGTCCTTTTTATGAATGAAAAAATTAGTATAAAGTAATAAATGTCTTATGTTACCCAAGAAAGAACAACTGTCCTTTCAATTTACCTCAAGTTTAAATTTTTTAGAAGGTTTTCATTACAAGTTCGATAGCAGGGAATAAATATTCTGGTTAAGCAACAGTTCAGTATTTGAAGTACTACAAAAAGTACACACATAGAAACACACACAGAGTCATTATTACATTGAAATAAGTTCACCTGGTAAATAACTTCAACCCATAAAGATGTCAGTGAATATCATTCAATGTAAAGTGAAACACTAAAGCCAGCTGCTAGATGCTAAGAAAATGAGACTTTGTAACCCTGAATGAGCGAGTCTGGAATAGAGGTATCTGCATAATGGCATGAATCTATAGGAGGAGTCTGCTACAGGTAAAGCTTCTGAGTCCTGAGACAGGCTGGGCCCAGAAAACTGCATCCCACGGCTGCCTGTGTCCTGCCTTCCCATTTTCTCCTGTGTTCTGATCGTGGTTTCGCATTGGAATTCTCATCTCCCTTCCTGTTTCATGAAGCTTGCTTCACCCTGGATTCTGGTTTTCCTTTTTGGACGTTGTCTCTGTTTCTAGACCTTAAGTATTAGATTACTTCCCTTCTAATATTTTGTATTTGGTATTTGACCTTCAACTGACCCCAGCTCAGATTCTCCAGGCTTTGGGAGATCAAAGCTTCTTTCTGCGAGAGTGTGTTCCATGTTAATGATTCTCAAACCTGGTTGCCCATCACGATCACCTGGAGAATTAGAAAAATTAAAATGAATTCCCTGGACCCCAGTCCAGATTTACCAAATAAGAATCTGGGGAGTGAGCTATATTTTGGAGGGAATGTTCAGTACTATCTTACAGGGAGTTGGGTTTGAGGTTTTCATGATCACTGCAGGCTAGATTAACTGATAGTGTCAACTGAAAGAAGAATATATTTCAATAGCCTGTCTACATAACTTAATATCTCTTCAGAAAAAAAAAGAATCCATAAACTTTGCTTGCTTAAAATGCTGATTTGTTTATAATTATTCTTATCTTTTGTTCTACATCTTAATATCAAAATACAATACACTTTTTGTCTGGCAAAAATATCCCCTACCTTGTTTGTATCCAGACTGCAGACAAAAATGCACCTCAGAAGATTTCTTCTCTAAAGGAATGTGGACTTTTTCTTTTTCCTTCATGATACTTGGAAAATGAATTACATTTTAATACTTAATTTCCTGAGTCTATCATCTTCTGGAGGTTGCTAATAAAAAAAAATGATGAAAGCCTCCCTCAAACTTCAGAATAGACACATGATGACTTTGAATGAATTGACTTGTAAACTAGTTTATAGGTTTCACCATTGCTCATCCTATTTTAAAACCAAGTTTCACTTTTCCATTACTAGAAATAAGTCTGCTACCTGGGGTAATTATATCAGTTCCTACAATGTCATTACTAATTTTGCTCTAGAATTCAGTCAGGCGCATCTTAAAGCACAACCGTGAAGTTAATCCTTTTTCATTCAGGATCATTTTCTTTGACACATGCTGCCTTGAAAGCAAAGTCAAATATCTTAATCTTTTCTTGCATTTGTTTCCCAGAACTGCAGTAAAAATTAGCACAAACCAAGGGGTTTACAACATAACTTATTTTCTCACAGTTCTTGGAGCTGTAAGTCTAAAATGAAGGTGTCAGCCTGCCTTCTGGAGACTCTGAGGGAGAATCTGTTCCACACCCCTCTTTCGTAGCTTTTCATGGTTGCAGGCAGTGCTTGGTATTCCTTGGCTTGCAGCTGCAACACTCTAATCTCTACCTCTTGTCATACGGCATATTCCCTGTGTGTCTTGGTGTCCGCATTTCTCTCTTTTATCAGGACACCAGTCACTGGATTATGGACCACCTTAATATCCAGCATGACCTCAATTTAATTACATATGCAAAGACCCTATTTCTAAATAAGGTCACATTCACAGGTACTGAGTGGACATATATTTTGTCTCAACCTAGTAGTTCTCATTTCCTCTTTTTAAAACCTGATATGCATCACTCACACTAATGTGGATATGACTGAAATGCTGCTCTAAGCATCTTTTCAGAAAGCATTTATGTTGATAATTTACAACAATATGGATGAAACTCAAATGCATTATGCTAATTGAAAAGAAGCCAGATTCAAAATGCTGCGTGATGCCATTTATAGAACATTCTGGAACAGTCAGAATGCTCGTGGTTGCAAGGAGTTGAGAGGAGGTGGAGGGTCTGACTGCGCAGAAGCAGCATGAGGGAACTCTTAGGGGCAGTAGAACTGGTTGTGGTGACTCAAATCTATGCATTTGTCAAAACTCACAAAATTGCCCATCAAAAGGGTGAGATTTACAGTATGTACATTAAAACAACTTTTTAAAAAATGAAATTTTGAAAAGATCATGACCATTGGACAGATCTGTGATAATATTTTAATGCTACCTGTTATTACCTGTAAGATCTTGGAGAAGAAATGTAACCTTCTGAGGTTCAGTTTCCTCTTCTGTAAAATAGGGATAATACTTCTCCGTTGTTCAGAATTCTTTTAGTTGCAAATGACAGACACTCAACTCCAATAGCTTTAATAAAAAAAAAAAAGAGAGTCTATTGGCTCAAATAATGTAGTCTCTAAGATGGAATAGATATAAGGTCTTTAGTAATGTTCTCAGGGTTTCTCTTCATCAGTGGATTCAGCATCTCTGGCAGGCTATCTTTTTGTGGGAGGAATCCGGGGTGCTGACAGTTCCAAACCTACATCCTCCTGATCAATGGCCCAAAAGTATTAGAGCCTCTCTCATTCTGACTCAGCATACATAGAAAATCTCAGTGAAGACTCAGATTATCCCCAGGAATTTGGTATATGTTATTTGCCATTTTGGATATCCTGTCCACCCTTCTGAGTAGTCAAAAGGTGGCACAAACATTGTAATAGAAATACCCACCAGCCAGGAGTGGTGGCTCATGTCTGTAATCCCAGCACTTTGGGAGGCCGAGGAGGGTGGATCACCTGAGGTCAGGAGTTTAAGACCAGCCTGCCCAACATGGTGAAACCCCACCACTACTAGAAATACAAAAAAATCAGCTGGTGTGGTGGTGTGTGCCTGTAATTCCAGATACTCAGGAGGCTGAGGCAGAAGAATTGCTTGAACCCCGAGGGCAGAGGTTGCAGTGAGCCGACATCGTGCCACCACTGCAGTCCAGCCTGGGTGACAGAGTGAGACTCTGTCTCAAAAAAGAAAGAAAGAGAGAAAAGAGAGAAAAGAAAAAGAAAGACAAAGGAAGAAAGAGAGAAAGAGAAGGAAGGAAGAAAGGAAGGAAGGAATGAAGGAAGGAAGGAAGGAAGGAAGGAAGGAAGGAAGGAAGGAAGGAAGGAAAAGAAATTAATTCCCACCATGACTAGATGGAGTGGAGAAAGATGGTTCCCCCAGAAGAAATATCAGGTGGCTGTCAGCACGAAGACCCTCCTTTTACCACATTTTAAATGTGCACTATTCCTGGTGATGAAAGGTGAAGGAAAACCATTGTCAATCAGTCCCATCTACACTGCTTTTATTATTTCTAAGAATGACATGAATATCCAAGGGACTTTGAAACTTCATTAGAAAAGCTTATCCACATTACTCAGGCACTTCAATTAATTACAGGGAAGAGACGTGTCACATTAAAGTGCTGCAAACACATGCACTATTTTAAGTGAACTATATTCGTTATCCACAAAACCTCAGTGGCATATAACAATAAAAAAATTGCTCACACATTTGGACAGCAGTAGGTCAGATACGTGGCTTTGCTTATCTGAACTGAACTCCCTCACATGTTCGGGAGTCAGCTGACTGTCAGCTGTTCAAAGCTGCCCTTAGATGGGGCCTTTAGGATAACTTGGCTCCGCTTCACTTTTCTCCCATTCTCCATCAGGCTAGACCTAGCACGTTCTCACGGCTGACAGAGGTGCAAGAAAGCGAGTGGAAACATGTAGCTACTCTCTCAAGCTTTTGCTTGCCTTATGTCTGTTAACATCCTATTGACAAGATCGAGTCATATTATAAACCCAGAGCCAAGAGGCAAGGCAGGTCACCCACATATGTGGGTGGGCACTTTAAAGGTACAGCAAAGTGTGTGGATATAGGGAGTGTTGAAGAATTGGAGCTAAATGATGTAATGTACCACAGATACTTACCAAATTCCACTGGATCTAAGAGGCCATCAATTTTACTATTAAAAAAGAAAAAAATTTATAATTAAACTATAACACAATGCTTGTTTATCATGTAGAATTGTTATTCTTATTGAAACAGCTACTTATTTGGAAATATGTTTTTATGGTTTGTTATGCATAGACAATGAAGAAACTATACAAAAATTGTGCTAACATAGTCCTACAAATTCTCCACATTTAGAATAAGACTCTCATAAATCATTCCTAAACTCTGAGTAGTTGATGTTTGTATTTTGTTACAAAATGTCATATTTTGGTGGTATTGGTGTCTACATCATTACTTAAAGGATGCTCCAATATTTCTTTCAAGCTTCTGATGCCCATTCTGCCAGTGTTTTCTTAATCTTATGAGACATCAACAGAAAGTTATTGTGGCCATTGAAAAAAACATGTTCATAAACTCTTCTCTTCAAGAGGTGGAATGTAATTCTGGTCCCCTTGAGGGTGTGCTGAATTTAATGAATCACCTCTAGAGAATGGGATAAAGCAGAAGTGACAGTGAAGGACTTTGGAAGCTAGGTCATTAAAAGCCAGTGTGGTCTCCATTTTAATCATTCTCTCTCTCTCTCTCTTAGATCAATGTCTCTTTGAGAAGCCAGTTGTTATGTTCTGAGGGAATTCAGTCAGCCCTGTGGAGATACTCATATAGTGAGAAACTGATACCTCCTGCCAGCATCCCTGTGAGTGAGCCATCTTGCAAGCATATCAGCCTCAGTCAAGCCTTCAGATGAATACAATCTAGGCTGAAAGCCTAACTGCAATGTAATGAAAGACCTTGAGCTAGAACCACCCAAATATCTGCTCCCAGGTTTATG
Source organism: Homo sapiens (assembly GCF_000001405.40). Classification (NCBI taxonomy): domain Eukaryota; kingdom Metazoa; phylum Chordata; class Mammalia; order Primates; family Hominidae; genus Homo; species Homo sapiens. The sequence goes on from NC_000012.12 coordinate 41,077,414, forward strand.
ACCTTCAGGAACTATGTGAGATAATAATTATTTGTTGTGTTAAGCCACTACATTTTGGAGTAATTTATTATATAGTAATAGATAACTACACAATTGGCATATGATTAAGACTCTTAAGTGACTTGTTGACAAAAATTTAAAAAAATGAAGTTGTCCAATTTGACCAATAGAAATAACAAAGGTAACCCTATATGCCCAGCTACTCTATTTTCATGTATTTCTGTATGCTATTATTTAATTTCAGTGCTGAATTATAAGACACTTAAAAAGCATTCAAACTCCTGTGTTATCTCCAAAATATTTCCAACTCAACTGAAGTAATGATAATATAAAAAGTTATGATAAGGTGACTTATGTGTAAGCAGTAACAACTCTGCCATAGTTGTCTCCTGGCTAAGTGCAATTGAAAGATACCATTAATTTTAAGATGCATCCTATTTTAAGAGATGTTAACATATTTTAAAAATGTGTGGAATAGAAATATGGTACTTATCAGTTCTTATGAACACTTGCAGCTTCTTTGACTAAATTTAGGGTAAAGAAGATGAAAGTTATATTTAGGTTAGGATGTTGAAAAGTAATTGGTTTACTGAAGATGCAAGACTCCAGTTTGGCTGTCTGGGATCCCAGTGGGAGCTGAGATGAGCATGGCTGTCCAGGGAAATAGTTTTTACCTTTATAGCTATCATAAAGGCAACAGCTCAAAGAGTTATATTTAACTCAACTGTTTCACTATTTCTTTACATCTTCACACATTAGTACAAGCCCATGCATGAAATAAGGACTCAACACATATACAATGAATGGATTGTTGAATAAAAAACAGAGGTTTTAGATTTTCAGTGTTTTAGCATATTTTCTAGAAATATTTTTATGTTACTTGATTGATAATGTGCTTATTTCACATATTCTAATATCGCGAGAACTCTTTACTAAAATAACAATCGGCTTTTGACAATGCTATGTTTACAGGTTTAAGTCTGTAAAAAATTGCAGGTGGAGAAAAGGCTCATTGAAGGGTGATCACTAGAGAGGAAGAAATGTATCTATAGTTGTACACCCAGGACATATCCAGGACCTCCTCTTCTGAGTATTGTTTCTGCAACATTTCATTTCTAAATGTTTGCACCATAGGCATGCTAGATCATATTAACATAAGCAATAATACTCTAAAATTTGTGGCACACACTAACGCCCTATGCACAATGTCTCATTTATTATTTATTTTTATGTATTTATTTATGTATTTTATTATGTATTTCTCTATTTTATCTCCAATCCCACATCACACCATGCTTTCACTGTCATGTATTCAATGTTTGTCCTTTCAATTAATCTTCTTTATTTTATTTATATGCTATTACATGAACAATAAATAGGATTCATATATTTGGTTTTATTTATATAAATTATATTTTGCTGCATATTCTATTCTGCTTCATAGCTCTTTTGGTTAACATTACTTTTTCTGATATATCTATATGTATTTCTAGTTTATTCCCCTGGTTAATTTTGGTACACTTTATCACTTTGTTCCCATTCTGTCTTATAATCTCCCCACTGGAGATAATTTTACAGTAAACATTTTGCATGCTTCTTCATGTAACTCTATGGGAATTTTTCTGGCTACCATTCAGTAATAGAATTACTAGATTATTGTACATGTGTATAATATACTATTTATCATGCATATTCATTCATTCAACAGCGTACTTCTCCTCTCCATGTTGAGGATACAGCAATGAGAAAAATTAAGTTTGAAAAAGGTGACTCCAATTTTCACTTCTTTCAACACTTGAGGATTTCCATTTTCTCATCCAAGCTTGATATTATATAGATACAAAATTTACCCAATCTGGTCGTGTGTAAAGTGTTTTAATTTACATTTCTCTGATTACTAAATGTTCTGACCGCCTCTTTGTATAATTATTACTTATATATTTTTCTTTTGTGAATCATCTGGTCATAACAAAACATTTTAACATTCTATAGAAATCTTAAACATACACATACTGATATGGTTTGGCTGTGCCCCCACCCAAATCACATCTTGAACTGTAGTTCCCATAAAGCCTATATGTCATGGGAGGGACCCAGTGGTAGGTAATTGAATCTCAGGGACAGGTTTTTCCTGTGCTACTCTCCTGATAGTGAATGGGTCTCATGTGATCTGATGGTTTTATAAAGGGCAGTTCCCCTGCACATAGTCTCTTGCCTGCCACCATGTAAGACATGCCTTTGCTCCTCCTTCACCTTCTGCCATGATTGTGAAGCCTCCCCAGCCATGTGGAACTGTGAGTTGATTAAACCCCTTTTACTTTATAAATTACCCAGTCTCAGGTATTTCTTCATAGCAGTGTGAAAATGGACTAATACACTAAATTGGTACCAGTAGAGAGGGGTACTATAAGGATATCCAAAAATGTAGAAGTGACTTTGAAACTGGGTAACAGGCAGAGGCTGGAACAGTTTGGAGGGCTCAGAAAAAGACAGGAAAGTGTGGGAAAGTTTGGAACTTCCTAGAGACTTGATGAATAGCTTTGACCAAAATGCTGATAGCGATATGGACAATGAAGGCCAGGCTGAGGTGGTCTCAGATGGATATGTGGAATTTGTTGGGATCTGGAATAAAGGTGACTGTTGCTATATTTTAGCAAAAAGACTGGTAGCATTTGTCCCTGCCCTAGAACGCTGTGGAACTTTGAACTTGAGAGACATGATTTAGGGTATCTGGTGGAAGAAATGTCTAAGCAGCAAAGCATTCAAGAGGTGACTTGGTTGCTGTTGAAAACATTCAGTTTTATGTGTTCACAAAGGTATGGTTTGGAATTGAAACTTATATTTAAAAGGAAAGCAAAGCATAAAAGTTTGGAAAATTTGCAGCTTGACAATGCAATAGAAAAGAAAAATGCATCTTCTGAGCAAAAATTCAAGCTGACTGCAGAAAATTGCATATGTATCAAGGAGCCAAATGTTAATTGCAAGACAATGGAGAAAATGTCTCCAGTCCATGTCAGAGGTCTTCATGGCAGCCCGTTCCATCAAAAGCTGGTAGGCCTAGGAGGAAAAAATGATTTCGTGGGCTCAGCCCACAGCTTTGCTGCTCTGTGTAGCCTCAGGACTTGGTGCCCTACATCCCAGCATGGCTAAAAAGGGTCAATGTACAGTTCAGGCCACTGCTTCAGAGGGTGCAAGGCCCAAGTCTTGGTGGTTTTCACATGGTGTTGGGCCTGCGTGTACACAGAAGTCAAGAATTGAGGTTTGGGAACCTCTGCCTGGAGTTCAGAGGATGTAGGGAAACACGTGGATGTCCAGGCAGAAGTGTGCTGCAGGGTCAAAACCCTCATGGAGAACCTTTGCTGGGGCAGTGCAGAAGGGAAATCTGGGGTGGGAGTCCCCACAGTGGGTCTCTACTAGGGCACTGCCTAGTGGATCTGTGAGAAGAGGACCACCATCCTCCAGACCCGAGAATGGTATATCCACTGGCAGCTTGCAACATGTGCCTGGAAAAGCCACAGACACACAATGCCAGCCTGGGAAAGCAGCCAGAAGGGGGCTATACCCTGCAAAGCCACATGGTCCCAAAGATCATGGGAACCCACCTCTTACATCAGCCTGACCCGGATGTGAGACACAGAGTCAAAGGAGATCATTTTGGAGCTTTAAGTTTTGACTGCCCTGCTGGATTTTGGACTTGTGTGGGGCCTGTAGCCCCTTTTTTTGGCCAATGTCTCCCATTTGAAATGGGTGTATTTACCCAACGCTTGGGCCTTCATTGTATCTAGGAAGTAACTAACTTGCTTTTGTTTTTACAAGCTCATAGGTGGAAGGGACTTTCCTTGTCTCAGGTGGGACTTTGGACTGCGGACTTTTCAGTTAATGCTGAAATGAGTTAAGACTTTGAGGAACTGTTGGAAAGGCAAAATTTGTTTTGAAATGTGAGAACATCAGATTTGGGAGGGCTAGGGGCAAAATAATATGGTTTGGCTGTGTCAGCATCCAAATCTTTTTTATTTATTTATTTATTTATTTATTTATTTATTTATTTATTTATTATTATTATAAGTTTTAGGGTACATGTGCACAATGTGCAGGTTAGTTACATATGTATACCTGTGCCATGCTGGTGTGCTGCACCCACTAACTCCTCATCTAGCATTAGGTATATCTCCCAATGCTATCCCTCCCCCCTCCCCCCACCCCACAACAGTCCCCAGAGTGTGATGTTCCCCTTCCTGTGTCCATGTGTTCTCATTGTTCAATTCCCACCTATGAGTGAGAACATGCGGTGTTTGGTTTTTTGTCCTTGCGATAGTTTACTGAGAATGATGATTTCCAATTTCATCCATGTCCCTACAAAGGACATGAACTCATCCTTTTTTATGGCTGCATAGTATTCCATGGTGTATATGTGCCACATTTTCTTAATCCAGTCTATCATTGTTGGGCATGTGGGTTGGTTCCAAGTCTTTGCTATTGTGAATAATGCCGCAATAAACATACATGTGCATGTGTCTTTAAAGCAGCGTGATTTATAGTCCTTTTGGTATATACCCAGTAATGGGATGGCTGGGTCAAATGGTATTTCTAGTTCTAGATCCCTGAGGAATCACCACACTGACTTCCACAATGGTTGAACTAGTTTACAGTCCCACCAACAGTGTAAAAGTGTTCCTATTTCTCCACATCCTCTCCAGCACCTGTCCTTTCCTGACTTTTTAATGATTGCCATTCTAACTGGTGTGAGATGGTATCTCATTGTGGTTTTGATTTGCATATCTCTGATGGCCAGTGATGGTGAGCATTTTTTCATGTGTTTTTTGGCTGCATAAATGTCTTCTTTTGAGAAACGTCTGTTCATGTCCTTTGCCCACTTTTTGATGGGGTTGTTTTTTTCTCGTAAATTTGTTTGAGTTCATTGTAGATTCTGGATATTAGCCCTTTGTCGGATGAGTAGGTTGTGAAAATTTTCTCCCATTTTGTAAGTTGCCTGTTCACTCTGATGGTAGTTTCTTTTGCTGTGCAGAAGCTCTTTAGTTTGATTAGATCCCATTTGTCAATTTTGGCTTTTGTTGACATTGCTTTTGGTGTTTTAGACATGAAGTCCTTGCCCATGCCTATGTCCTGAATGGTAATGCCTAGGTTTTCTTCTAGGGTTTTTATGGTTTTAGGTCTAACATGTAAGTCTTTAATCCATCTTGAATTGATTTTTGTATAAGGTGTAAGGAAGGGATCCAGTTTCAGCTTTCTACCTATGGCTAGCCACTTTTCTCAGCACCATTTATTAAATAGGGAATCCTTTCCCCATTGCTTGTTTTTCTCAGGTTTGTCAAAGATCAGATAGTTGTAGATATGTGACATTATTTTTGAGGGCTCCATTCTGTTCCATTGATCTATATGTCTGTTTTGGTACCAGTACCATGCTGTTTTGGTTACTGTAGCCTTGTAGTATAGTTTGAAGTCAGGTAGTGTGATGCCTCCGGCTTTGTTCTTTTGGCTTAGGATTGACTTGGCGATGCGGGCTCTTTTTTGGTTCCATATGAACTTTAAAGTAGTTTTTTTCCAATTCTGTGAAGAAAGTCATTGGTAGCTTGATGGGGATGGCATTGAATCTGTAAATTACCTTGGGCAGTATGGCCATTTTCACGATATTGATTCTTCCTACCCATGAGCATGGAATATTCTTCCATTTCTTTTTATCCTCTTTTATTTCCTTGAGCAGTGGTTTGTAGTTCTCCTTGAAGAGGTCCTTCACATCCCTAGTAAGTTGGATTCCTAGGTATTTTATTCTCTTTGAAGCAATTGTGAATGGGAGTTCACTCATGATTTGGCTCTCTGTTTGTCTGTTGTTGGTGTATAAGAATGCTTGTGATTTTTGTACATTGATTTTGTATCCTGAGACTTTGCTGAAGTTGCTTATCAGCTTAAGGAGATTTTGGGCTGAGACAGTGGAGTTTTCTAGATATGCAATCATGTTGTCTGCAAACAGCGACAATTTGACTTCCTCTTTTTCTAATTGAATACCCTTTATTTCCTTCTCCTGCCTAATTGCCCTGGCCAGAACTTCCAACACTATGTTGAATAGGAGTGGTGAGAGAGGGCAACTCTGTCTTGTGCCAGTTTTGAAATGGAATGCTTCCAGTTTTTGCCCATTCAGTATGATATTGGCTGTGGGTTTGTCATAGATAGCTCTTATTATTTTGAGATACGTCCCATCAATACCTAATTTATTGAGAGTTTTTAGCATGAAGGGTTGTTGAATTTTGTCAAAGGCCTTTTCTGCATCTATTGAGATAATCATGTGGTTTTTGTCTTTGGTTCTGTTTATATGCTGGATTACATTTATTGATTTGCATATATTGAACCAGCCTTGCATCCCAGGGATGAAGCCCACTTGATCATGGTGGATAAGCTTTTTGATGTGCTGCTGGATTCGGTTTGCCAGTATTTTATTGAGGATTTTTGCATCAATGTTCATCAAGGATACTGGTCTAAAATTATCTTTTTTGTTTGTGTCTCTGCCCGGCTTTGGTATCAGGATGATGCTGGCCTCATAAAATGAATTAGGGAGGATTCCCTCTTTTTCTATTGATTGGAATAGTTTCAGAAGGAATGGTACCAGCTCCTCCTTGTACCTCTGGTAGAATTCGGCTGTGAATCCATCTGGTCCTGGACTCTTTTTGGTTGGTAAGCTATTGATTATTGCCACAATTTCAGAGCCTGTTATTGGTCTATTCAGAGAGTCAACTTCTTCCTGGTTTAGTCTTGGGAGAGTGTATGTGTCAAGGAATTTATCCATTTCTTCTAGATTTTCTAGTTTATTTGCATAGAGGTGTTTGTAGTATTCTCTGATGGTAGTTTGTATTTCTGTGGGATTGGTGGTGATATCCCCTTTATCATTTTTTATTGCGTCTATTTGATTCTTCTCTCTTTTCTTCTTTATTAGTCTTGCTAGCGGTCTATCAATTTTGTTGATCCTTTCAAAAAACCAGCTCCTGGGTTCATTAATTTTTTGAAGGGTTTTTTGTGTCTCTATTTCCTTCAGTTCTACTCTGATTTTAGTTATTTCTTGCCTTCTGCTAGCTTTTGTATGTGTTTGCTCTTGCTTTTCTAGTTCTTTTAATTGTGATGTTAGGGTGTTAATTTTAGATCTTTCCTGCTTTCTCTCGTGGGCATTTAGTGCTATAAATTTCCCTCTACACACTGCTTTGAATGTGTCCCAGAGATTCTGGTATGTTGTGTCTTTGTTCTCGTTGGTTTCAAAGAACATCTTTATTTCTGCCTTCATTTTGTTATGTACCCAGTAGTCATTCAGGAGCAGGTTGTTCAGTTTCCGTGTAGTTGAGTGGTTTTGAGTGAGATTCTTAATCCTGAGTTCTAGTTTGATTGCACTGTGTTCTGAGAGATAGTTTGTTATAATTTCTGTTTTTTTTACATTTGCTGAGGACAGCTTTTCTTCCTCAAAATGTGGTCAATTTTGGAATAGGTGTGGTGTGGTGCTGAAAAAAATGAATATTCTGTTGATTTGGGGTGGAGAGTTCTGTAGATGTCTATTACGTCTGCTTGGTGCAGAGCTGAGGTCAATTCCTGGGTATCCTTGTTAACTTTCTGTCTCGTTGATCTGTCTAATGTTGACAGTGGGGTGTTAAAGTCTCCTATTATTATTGTGTGGGAGTCTAAGTCTTTTTGTATGTCACTCAGGACTTGCTTTATGAATCTTGGTGCTCCTGTATTGGGTGCATATATATTTAGGATAGTTAGCTCTTCTTGTTGAATTGATCCCTTTACCATTATGTAATGGCCTTCTTTGTCTCTTTTGATCTTTGTTGGTTTAAAGTCTGTTTTATCAGAGACTAGGATTGCAACCCCTGCCTTTTTTTGTTTTCCATTTGCTTGGTAGATCTTCCTCCATCTTTTTATTTTGAGCCTATGTGTGTCTCTGCACGTGAGATGGGTTTCCTGAATACAGCACACTGATGGGTCTTGACTCTTTATCCAATTTGCCAGTGTGTGTCTTTTAATTGGAGCATTTAGTCCATTTACATTTAAAGTTAATATTGTTATGTGTGAATTTGATCCTGTCGTTATGATGTTAGCTGGTTATTTTGCTCGTTAGTTGATGCAGTTTCTTCCTAGTCTCTATGGTCTTTACAGTTTGGCATGATTTTACAGCGGCTGGTACCAGTTGTTCCTTTCCATGTTTTAGCACTTCCTTCAGGAGCTCTTTTAGGGCAGGCCTGGTGGTGACAAAATCTCTCAGCATTTGCTTGTCTGTAAAGTATTTTATTTCTCCTTCACTTATGAAGCTTAGTTTGGCTGGATATGGAATTCTGGGTTGAAAATTCTTTTCTTTGAGAATGTTGAATATTGCCCCCCACTCTCATCTGGCTTGTAGAGTTTCTGCCGAAAGATCCACTGTTAGTCTGATGGGCTTCCCTTTGAGTGTAACCCGACCTTTCTCTCTGGCTGCCCTTAACATTTTTCCTTCATTTCAACTTTGGTGAATCTGACAATTATGTGTCTTGGAGTTGCTCTTCTTGAGGAGTATCTTTGTGGCGTTCTCTGTATTTCCTGAATCTGAATGTTGGCCTGCCTTTCTAGATTGGGGAAGTTCTCCTGGATAATATCCTGCAGAGTGTTTTCCAACTTGGTTCCATTCTCCCCGTCACTTTCAGGTACATCAATCAGACGTAGATTTGGTCTTTTCACATAGTCCCATATTTCTTGGAGGCTTTGCTCATTTCTTTTTATTCTTTTTTCTCTAAACTTCCCTTCTTGCTTCATTTCATTCATTTCATCTTCCATTGCTGATACCCTTTCTTCCAGTTGATCGCACCGGCTCCTGAGGCTTCTGCATTCTTCACGTAGTTCTCGAGCCTTGGTTTTCAGCTCCATCAGCTCCTTTAAGCACTTCTCTGTATTGGTTATTCTAGTTATATATTCTTCTAAATTTTTTTCAAAGCTTTCAACTTCTTTGCCTTTGGTTTGAATGTCCTCCCGTAGCTTGGAGTAATTTGATCATCTGAAGCCTTCTTCTCTCAGTTCGTCAAAGTCATCCTCCGTCCAGCTTTGTTCCGTTGCTGGTGAGGAACTGCGTTCCTTTGGAGGAGGAGAGGTGCTCTGCTTTTTAGAGTTTCCAGTTTTTCTGCTCTGTTTTTTCCCCATCTTTGTGGTTTTATCTACTTTTGGTCTTTGATGATGGTGATGTACAGATGGGTTTTTGGTGTGGATGTCCTTTCTGTTTGTTAGTTTTCCTTCTAACAGACAGGACCCTCAGCTGCAGGTCTGTTGGAGTACTGGGCCCTGTGAGGTGTCAGTCTGCCCCTGCTGGGGGGTGCCTCCCAGTTAGGCTGCTCAGGGGTCAGGGGTCAGGGACCCACTTGAGGAGGCAGTCTGCCCGTTCTCAGATCTCCAGTTGCATGCTGGGAGAACCACTGCTCTCTTCAAAGCTGTCAGACAGGGACATTTAAGTCTGCAGAGGTAACTGCTGTCTTTTTGTTTGTCTGTGCCCTGCCCCCAGAGGTGGAGCCTACAGAGGCAGGCAGGCCTCCTTGAGCTGTGGTGGGCTCCACCCAGCTCGCACTTCCCGGCTGCTTTGTTTACCTAAGCAAGCCTGGGCAATGGCGGGCGCCCCTCCCCCAGACTCGCTGCCGCCTTGCAGTTTGATCTCAGACTGCTGTGCTAGGAATCAGCGAGATTCCTTGGGCATAGGACCCTCCGAGCCAGGTGCGGGATGTAATCTCCTGGTGTGTGGTTTTTTAAGCCCGTCGGAATAGCGCAGTATTTGGGTGGGAGTGACCCGATTTTCCAGGTGCCATCTGTCACCCCTTTCTTTGACTAGGAAAGGGAACTCCCTGACCCCTTGTGCTTCCCGAGTGAGGCAATGCCTCATTCTGCTTGGGCTCGCTCACGGTGCACGCACCCACTGACCTGCACCCACTGTCTGGCACTCCCTAGTGAGATGAACCCGCTACCTCAGATGGAAATGGAGAAATCACCCGTCTTCTGCGTCGCTCACGCTGGGAGATGTAGACCGGAGCTGTTCCTATTCGGCCATCTTGGCTCCTCCCCCCAAATCTTATCTTGAATTGGAGCTTCCATAATCCCCACATGTTGTGGGAGACAACCAGTGGGAGGTAATTGAATCATATGGCTGTTTTTTTCCCTTGATGTTCTCATGATAGCGAATAAGTCTCACAAGGTCTGATGGATTTATGAAGGACATTTCGCCTGCACGTGCTCTCTTGCCTGCTGCCCTGTAAGATGTGCCTTTGCTCCTCCTTTGCCTTCCACCATGATTGTGAGGCCTCCCCAGCCATGTGGAACTGTGAGTCCATTAAACCTCCTTTTCTTTATAAATTACACAGTCTCAGGTATTTCTTCTTAGCAGTATGAATGTGGCCTAATGCACATATCTTATGAGCAAGTGATTTCACTTATGGGTATATATGATAGAAAAATGTGTGCATATGTGCACCAAGTATAAGAATGTTCATGCTAGCATTGTTCCTAATAGCTCAAATTTAAAATTGACCTAAATGCCCATCAATAATAGCTTAGATAATACCATATGGTATTGTATTAGTCAGGTTCTCCAGAGAAACAGAATGAATAGGATAGAAAATAGATAGATGAAAGACAGATAGATAGACAGAGATTTATTATGAGAGACTGGCTCACATGATTATGAAGTCCCCCCATTTCCTATCTGCAAGCTAAAGGCCCAGGAAATGTGGTGGTATAGTTCCAGTTCAAGTACAAAGCCTGAGAACAAGAAGTGCTGATGTCAGGGCAGGAAGTGATGGATGTCCCAGCTCCAACAGAGAGAGTAAATTCACCCTTCCTCTACCTCTTTGTTCTACTTAGGCCTTCAACAGATTGGATGATGCCCAGCCACATTGGTGAGGACCATCTTCTTTACTCAGTCTACTCACTTAAATGCTAATCTCTTCAGTAAACATCCTCAATGGCATACCCAGAAATAATGTTTTGGCAGCTATCTGGGTATCCCTTAACCCTGTCAAACTGGCACATAAACTTAACCGTCACAGGTAACTTTCATGTAATAAAATATTATACGACAATGAATATGTAGAGCCTATTGCTACATTCAACAGGAATGTATCTTACACACATAAATAGGATGGAGAAGCCAAACACAAAATAATACATGCTGTAAGATTACTTTTTAAAAAGTTCAAGGACAGTAATTGCCATGGTTTGATCATTACACATTTGAGCACGTATCAAAATATTACACATACCCCCAAAATATGTACAACTATTATATATCAAAAAAAAGTACAAGAACAGGAAAAATTGGTCTATTTCATCAGGATATTGTTTATATTTGGAAAGGCAGGTGAGGGTAGTGAGTGATAGGGAGCGTGAAGGGACTTCTAGGGAGATGGTTTTTCCTAATCTGGGTGGTAATTGCAGTGTGTGAAAATTCATTAAGTTTTACACTTATGACTTGCACAGTTTTATATATATCCATGTTATGTTTCAATAAGATACTAAAAATTCACTAAACCTAGTTGTACATAACTCTGCATTTCTAATTATGTCCTAAGGTAAAATTGTTAGAATAGGGAGTGTGGCTATTTCATGCACATATCTCCTACAAGGGGCTTATAAAAGTTATTATTCTTGGTTAACAAGAAATACAGATGACTAAAGAACAAATTATAATCAAGTGTGATAAGTCCTATGATAGGGAAGATTTAAGATGCTTTGAAAATGGAGTGGGCTTGGCAGCAGCAGTCTAGGAATCAGGAGAAGTTTCTCAGAGGGAACAATGGATATGAGACTACCTGAAAAGAAAAAAGCCTGGGTATTACATGGGGACCAATGAGGAGAAGAAGGTGCCCAGCAAAAAGAAAGGCACTGTGAAGGCACCAAATTGAGAGAAGCCTAGTGAGGCTCAGAGGTTGTAAGAAGGACAGTATGGCTGGAGTATGAAAATTGAGGCCGGAGTGATGGACAAAAGTGGATGGTGAGTGCTTTATAGACCCCGCTAAAAAAAAAATAATAATAAATAAATAAATAAAAACTGTGCTTTATCTAACAGGTAATAGGCCACCTTGGAGGGCAAACAAATGGTGAAATAATAATGTTCGCCTTTTACACCTAATTCAGACTACAGTGGAGGACAGCTTAATGCATGTTAGTCTGTAAAGTAAAAATCTGAAATATCATCATGACTCTACAAAGAACTTGCTTAGATAAGCAGAAATACGTTATATTGCTTAAAAGTTTCTCTCTCTAATATTTCATTGTTTGTAAATGATGAGATTCTCCTTTAGAGAATATTGTCATATAGATATTTTAAAAGTGGATAGATCAACATTTCCCTCCTCACTTAATCTGCTGTGCCCAGAAACATTGACTGACTACTTACCTATTTTCCATTTCCAAAACCAATTATTGGGATGAAAACTACTGGTATTGAGTGATTTGCAAATTACCAGAAGGACAAACTCTCTGATGAATTGTAGATTTCTATATAATTATCTTTCTTTCCTTTAAACTAGTGTCCCTTAAATTTGAGGAAACCACAGCTGAAATCAAACAAATCAACTCAACAATCACAAGCTATTCAGTTGACTAAAATTATTATTAAAATGTTATTTAAATATATACAATGTAAAATCAGTTATAGACTTCTTGTTCTTGTAACTCATATCAAAACAAATTTAAAAATAAAACGAAGATACAAGGCCAGTAATATTAAAATTAATAACTGATTTAATATGACTACTGATGTTGTTTTGCTGAAATTACATTGCTGCCCATGGGCCTAGATATCTGAATCCTTCCACCGTACTTTTCTGTCCTAGTTTTTGGCAGACAGTGCTGACATTTGGACATCACTTAGTGCAAAATCATTATTTATCATTAAGTTCACATCTGTTCCTTTCTTATTAACCAGAGATTGTACCAATGAAATTGGCACTTGGCACCAATGAAATTGTAAACACATACTCTAGGAATACAATTATAGGAAACATTTAGTTACCCCATGGTCATCTAGAAGATCCAGAATATGCCTGCATTATTTTTAAAGATATCATCCAAAGATAATAATCAAATGATCAGAAGTTTTAAATTCTCCTTAGTACTCTCAGAATTTGTGGGAAGCATGTTCTTAGACCAGAACCAGCTTGAAGAACCCTAAATTAAGTCGTTATAGGCAAGAGTTAAAATGCAAATATTATTTGTAAAGAATAGCACAGGCAAACTTTTCACATCCTAACGCAAAATAATTTGAGAAGAGAAGGGCTTTGAAGAAAAGGAAATACAACCTTTTTTGGCTTGATTCAGGGATTAGAAATGGTCAATATTTAAAGCATTTGTAGTGGTCTGAAGCTTTCAGAAGGTGCTAAAATTACAGAGTCCACAGTGATCATCATCCAGGATAAAGAAGGTGATTAAAGAGGGGCTGAGGAAGAATGTAAAGCATAATGTGAATGTCTAATAAAAATTATTCTTAACATTAGTAAATACGGATACAGTTACACTTTTCATTTCAGATACACTTGTGTAGAATTAAAGTTATTCAGGAAAGTAAAGAGGCAGATTTAGAAAATGACGTCAGGCCCCAGCGGGACTGTGTACCTTGCTAATGCAAAAAAGCTCTCAGATAAGATTGACCGATTGACATTTTTGGCACTTGAGACACTATTGATCCTGTATATTCATGACTTTCTCTTACTTAAATTGTAACTCCTGTTCTTAAAAAAGTAGTCTTATTATGGATTGGCAGATTGCTTATTTCTGAAATGGCTCATATGGCATGAAATGGCATAATCTAAGCAATCCAGTTTGGGAGGATTTGAAAAACCACTTGAAAATCTTGGAAAACACAGCAACTCTTTAGGAAAAAAAAATACTAGCAGACTTAAATGATAGAGTGGAATTCCAGATCTGGAGATATTGACCTAGATACATGATCCTTGTGAATTTCAGGTTTGTTCACTCTAATAGGTGGGAGTTTACATAAATAATTACTGGCTCAACCTCTCTATATCATCAAATCAAGCAGAAAGATACATTTCCTCCAACTTGTATCCCAAAGTTCTATAATATTAATATTAGACAAAAAGACAAATAAATTATGCCTCCCTCTAATTATTCACTTGGATCTCACATCCATCATATAAAGAGTATTTCTATCTCACTCCATATATATGCTTGGTCCTGAGCACTCGTGGGCTAAGTCCTAACTGACAAGCAATCTCTTTCTGTGCTTTGAATGCAGGAAGAAAAGTACAATATATTTTTATAATACTATTTTCATTATCTCAATCTGTAAAAAGAAATCGCAGCCTTTCTTATTACTGACACCTAGAACTTTACAGTGAATTTATTTTTCTGTTTATTTTGCATAATCAAACACTGTTTAGCCAGAGAAATACTGCCTTCAGGCCACTATGAAGTTATACAAAATCATGATTCATTAATGATTAAATAAAGAATGCTACCTATTCAAGTTAATAAAATTTTTTTCTTTTAGAAACAGGGTCTCACACTGTCAGCCCAGCTGGAGTGCAGTGGCACAATCATAGCTCTCTGAAGCCTAGAACTCCTGAGCTCAAGCCATCCTCCCACTTCAGCCTCTAGAGTAACTAGGACTATAGGCATGAGCCACAATGTCTGACAATATATTTTTTCAGAACTTTTTTTTGTTTTACTTTTTTTCCTTTCTTTCCTTGTTTTTTTTAAATTCTGATTAGCATAAGATAGTGATGAATCTTCAAGGGGAGCACTCTGTTCTCTGGCACTCAGAAAAGCTCAGTTTGGGTGGCCATACTAGAGAGGCATAAAATGCCATGTGGGTCAGCAAGCCCAGATTAAAGAGCTGCCTCAGACAGATGTCTGTCCCCAGAATAACCACAGGAAGCCCTTTGACCTCCAGGTTGTCCCATCACTCTCCACCTTCTGTGACAGGCTGCTCTTTGGGGTTGGGTTCCTGAGCAGCTGCCTCTTTTCTGCTCATTCTCTAGAATCTGCTAAGGACAAATGTCATCTTATTAAATGTCATCTTATTCATCATTCCTTCGAATACCTTCATTTACCTGTGTCTTCTGATAACACCTCTCAGAAAGCTATAGTTCTTGAAAGTTTCTATAGGATTTCTAAAATTTCAAATATGCAGTCACTTAAAAAAAAACCACACCACAGAAAATCTGGCAATTGCTATTCAGGAAAAAAATTTTAAAAGATGAGCAATCGGGCTATGCTGGCTTTGAAGAAGTAGACTCATAAAATCAGGAGAAGGTGGGAGTTAAGTAGTGGAAAGCAACTTCTTCTCATGAGCTGAAGAGCAGCTGACAACTCACTTGAATGTTACCATGCAGACCTTTTTTTTAAATTTTTTATTTTATTTTATTATTATTATACTTTAAGTTTTAGGGTACATGTGCACAATGTGCAGGTTAGTTACATATGTATACATGTGCCATGCTGCTGTGCTGCACCCATTAACTCATCATTTAGCATTAGGTATATCTCCTAATTCTATCCCTCCCCCCTCCCCCCACCCCACAACAGTCCCCAGAGTGTGATGTTCCCCTTCCTGTGTCCATGTGTTCTCATTGTTCAATTCCCACCTATGAGTGAGAACATGAGATGTTTGGTTTTTCGTCCTTGCGATAGTTTACTGAGAATAATGGTTTCCAATTTCATCCATGTCCCTACAAAGGACATGAACTCATCATTTTTTATGGCTGCATAGTATATTCCATGGTATATATGTGCCACATTTTCTTAATCCAGTCTATCATTGTTGGACATGTGGGTTGGTTCCAAGTCTTTGCTATTGTGAATAGTGCCACAATAAACATACGTGTGCATGTGTCTTTATAGCAGCATGATTTATAGTCCTTTTGGTATATACCCAGTAATGGGATGGCTGGGTCAAATGGTATTTCTAGTTCTAGATCCGTGAGGAATCGCCACACTGACTTCCACAAGGGTTGAACTAGTTTACAGTCCCACCAACAGTGTAAAAGTGTTCCTATTTCTCCACATCCTCTCCAGCACCTGTTGTTTCCTGACTTTTTAGTGACTGCCATTCTAACTGGTGTGAGATGGTATCTCATTGTGGTTTTGATTTGCATTTCTCTGACGGCCAGTGATGGTGAACATTTTTTCATGTGTTTTTTGGCTGACCATGCAGACCTTTTTAAGGCCTCTAAAATATATTTTCTCATTAATTATTTAAAGGGTCTACCAGATTTGATTAAGTGTGGTTTGGATTTTTAGTTACGATCTCTGGAAAGTTGATTCTAAAGATTTCTAACACATGTGAGGCTAAATATGGACTTACTTGAACTTTCATAGTTAATTTCTGTTTATCTGCTCTCATAAACATTGGCATTTAAGAATTAAATAATTGTAGACCACGTACAATAAGACAACTCATAAAATAATTTTCAGTGCATAATCTCTTAGATGGCAAAATCGATGATTGCTTTAAAAAATATGCCATTCCCTTTGACAACTGTATTTATTTCTTATGACCACTGTAAGTAATTACCACAAGCTTGGTGGCTTAAAATAACAGAGATTTATTCTGTCACAGTTCTGGAGCCAGAGGTTCCAAATCAGTGTCAGTGAACCAGAATCAAGACATTGTCAGGGTCATACTCCCTCTAAAGGATCTAAGGAGAATCCATCCCTTGCTTCTTCTAGCTTTTGGTGACTGCTAGAATGCTTTGGCTTGTGGTCACATCAGTCCAACATTTACCTTCCTCCTCTTTGCCTTTTCCTCTTCTATACATGTCAAATCCTCCTCTGTCTCCCGCTTATAAAGACATATATTGAATTTAGGACTAATCCTGATAATTTAGGATAATATTCCTACCTCAATATCCTTAATCACACATGTAAAGTCTTTGCCACATGAATTAAAATTTGCAGTTTCCAGGGATTGAGACCTGATATCTTAGAGAGCTACTACTCAGTCTTCTGTTTTTCCAACTTAGGCTTCTTCTCTTGGAGTGATAATCTCAATAAAAAATTCCCATAAGCAACGTGATTGTTTCACAGTTAATAAGTTTATGTTACTATTCCGAATAACAAAACATGTAAAACATTATACTATAAATTACCTGGCAAACTTTTCAAATGGTTTCAAAACAATGTTTCTCAGAGGTGCTGTTTTACAAAATGACCTAACATTATGTATTTCATACCTGAATCAGTATATTTGCCACATAAATTTCCCCAAATATTCATCATTAAGAAGTATTGAGTGATAAATACCCTAATTTTTCTATTCCCATTTTTTCCTAGTTCTCCTGGACGTAGGTAAAATAAAGTACAAACTTTAAGCTTTATTTAATATCTATAACTAAATAATTCTATTTGTTACATAAATTGACATTAAATATGTAGATTCTAAATCTGAGAATGCACTAGATACTGTCAATCCAAAAATCCATTCATCTTACCTCCACCACTGATAGTTCATCTCTTTCCTGTACTGCCATGCACAATTTCTCGGGAGCTTGCTCCTGTATTGGGGCTTTAATCTTTTTCAATGATACTACTACATGAGCTGATTTTAAGCCCCTCCTAGACTCGTAGTAGAAATGTCTCCATTGAGATGAATAACTCACATGTTTTCCAGGAACGATACTCACAGGTATGCAGTCTGAAACAGCCACAAACATGTTCTCACATTTGTTTCAACTGAGCTTTCCTTCCATCATCAAGCTACCAGGACTACCATTTCTTCATTTCCCGAATTCATCCTTGGATGCATCCCTAAACACTCAACATAAGGAAACACACTACACAAACTCTTCAAAAATTCCCAAGGGAGAAAACTAAATTCCTTGGCTGTAAGTCTTCATTTGTGTCTTTTTCCTCTTCAATCACTTTCTATCCATGATGTATGCCACTCATTCTCTATGTACTTATATTTTACCTGGTCATTTTCTTTTTCTACCTCTCTGAGCAGTTTTTTCCAGACTTCCATTTACAGACTCCATTGCTAAAGCAGCTGTTATTTACTGCCCAGCAACCCTTTCCCCACATTCAAGGGCATAACATCTCAGTTTTCCTCCTCTAAGCCAGATGATTAGGTTAATTTAAACCCCATCCTCATTACTAAAAGTTGGCCCTGATTGACTTAAACCAGTTGTATCCTGCTGGCTCTAGAGATTGGTGCAGGGGGGTGCATTAGAGTTAAGATGTGTTTCAATGCAAGCAACATAAAACTCATCTAATAGGACATTTATTGTTGTCTCATCAAAAATCACAAAGACAAAAATATTCAACTCGTATCCATAACAAACAAAGTAAAACAGCAGTAGAGCTGCCTTTCAAGAAACCTAAGGAAAGAAAATGCAAACCACAGGTCTTCATATATCAAAGCTGAAGAAACATATTTTGAACATGGAAGAACTCATCCGATGCTCTCCACCTGTGCCCTTTTTGAGGAATCTACTGCAGGGTAAGCTTTATACAACCTAAAGCCGACTGGAAAATTCCAGCAAAGGAACTGATGGTGAATACTGCACATAACTGAAAAGCTAAAACGTAAACCGTAGTGAGGTTATAGAAGAATAATTTCCAAACATTATACTTTCTGACAGAGTAGAAAGAATGCAACTTTAAACAGGTGAAAACAAGGGAGAAAGAATGTAGAAAGTAGAATGATATTATTAACTTTTGTATAGGTAACAGGCCTCAAAAGATACGATTTAAAACTAATATGGGAGATAGCAAAAAGGTTAAATACAGAAAAAATCATATTAAGGGCATTATAAAATGTATTAATGTAAAATTAGCCACTAGAATAAAATATAAAGCTTTTTAAATACCAAAACTATTTTTTAAAAAAGGAAAAAAGACACACCAAAGAGAAAAAGAAACAGTAAATATTACATAATTTGCATATATACAACTTAAGATGATACAGCATAATAGAGCAGACAAAATAATAAGGACATGAAAGATCTAAACAACATAATAATATAGATCTTTTTGGGTATATATCAAGCACTACACCCAAAAGTTTAAAAAAATCATTTTTCTCAAGTATGCATGAAATAGTCACAACAATTGA